>NC_000010.11:57718852-57870368 GCF_000001405.40 Homo sapiens | reverse complement strand
ACATGTACCCCCGAACATGTTGGAAAAAAAAAAAAAAGAAAATATGGTATTAAAACAATTGGCTATCCAAGTGAAAAAAAAATGAATATCAACACTTGCCTCATGCAGTACATAAATAATAAACTGAAATAAGTCATAGATTAAAATCTAAAAGTAAATACTAATTAAAAATCTTCTGAAAGGAAACATAGGAGAAAATCTTTCTGATTTTGTGGTAGGCATTTTTTTTTAATTGAACAAAGATACAACTTCTGAAAGAAAAAGATAAATGGGACACTAAATTAAAAACTTCCGCTCTTCTAATGAGACTAATAAGAAAAAAGTCAAGCCACAGACTGGGAGAAAACCTTGCAAAACATGTACTTGTCAAAAGATTTATATTGAAATTCCATAATATGAAGTAACTTACCTTATTTTAAAAATGGGCAAAACATTTGAACAGACATCTCACAAAAGGGCAATGATATGGAACCATAATACATATAGTCAATATATAAATTGGCCAGTCAATACATAAAAAGATGCTTAACATAATTTGTCATCAGGAAAACACAAATTTGAACCACAGTGAGATGCTGTTATACACCACTAGAATGGCTGCAATAAAAACAATGGAAAGTGCCAGGACTTAGGTAAAAATATGAAGCAAGTAGAACTTTCCTACATTACTTTTTGGAATTTAAAATAGTAAACTACTTTATACTTCCCATATGACCCAGCAATCCCACTCATAAATATTTACCCAAGAGAAATGAAAACATATGTCCTCACAAATACTTGTATATATATGCTCATAGCACCTTTATTCGTAATAGCCCCAAATTAAAAGTATCCAGTTTTCCATCAATAGGAGAATAAACAAATGGTGCTATATCACAGAATGGAATATTACTCAATAATAAAAAGGGGAAACAGATTGGGGTATATGACAATGTGGATGAATCACAGGAACATTATTTTGATGTTAATTTTATGTATTATGTGCCAAACTTGCTGGGTCATGGAAGTCAAATACTATTTTGAATGTTTCTTTTTTTTTTGAGACAGGGTATCACTCCAATGCCCAGGCTGGAGTACAGTGGCGCTATCTCGGCTCACTGCAACTTCCGCCTCCCAGGTTCAGGTGACTCTCCTGCCTCAGCCTCCTAAGTAGCTGGGACTACAGGTGCACACCACCACACTCATCTAATTTTTGTATTTTTAGTAGAGACAGGGTTTCACCATGTTGGTCAGGCTGGTCTTGAACTCCTGACCTCAAGTGATCCACCAATCCCAGCACCCAAAGTGCTGTGATTACAGGCATGAACCAACACACCCAGCCTATTCTGGATGTTTTTATGAAGAGTTTTTTGGATGCAACTAACATTTAAATTGGTGAACTTTGAATAAAGCAGAGTGCCTGCCATGGTGTTGGTGGGCATCATCTAATCACTTGAAAGCCTTTATGAGTTTTGACAAATTTTTATACCTGTGTAACCCCTTTTACTATCAGAATATAGAACATTTCCCCAGTAGTCATTTTCCAAATATTCTCTTGTGCCCCATTCCAGTTAATTCTCCCCAAACTCCAGCCCCAGAAAACTTCTGACTCGCTTCCTGACTGCCAAGCAAGAAGGAATTCTGCCAGCAGATGGCCTTCAGACTTGAAATGCAATACTGACTCTTCCCTTGATCTCCAGCTTGCTGGCCTATCTTGCAGATTTTTGGCCTTCTGGCTTCCATTATTGCAAGAGCCACTTCAATTAATCTCTCCATATATATATATCTATACATATACACTCGTATATATATCTATATATACCCATATATATACCCATATATATCCATATATACCCATATATATACCCATATATATACATATACCCATATATATATATATATAAGCATCTCCTGTTGATTCTGTTTCTCTAGAGAATCCTGACTAATACAATTATGCTGAGCAAGGGAAGCTATACACAAAAGCATACATATTGCATGGTTCTATTTATATGGACCTCTACAGTGACAGAAAGCAAGTCAGAAGTTTTCTGGGGCTGGAGCTTGGGGAGAATTACCTGGAATGGGGCACAAGAGAATATTTGGGAAATGTTCTGTATTCTGATAGTAGAAGTGGTTACACAGGTATAAAAATTTGTCAAAACTCATAAAACATTCACTTAAAATGGGTACAATTGTTGTATGTGAATTATACCTATGTAAAGTTGATTTTGAAAGCATAGAGCCTGTAAATATTACATGTGGGAAGAAGGGGAATTTGTGCACAAGCTCGGGATGCTTTGCTGGGAAGTAAGTGAAGGCATTTGTAGATGGTGAAGTATGAAGGACAAGATTTGTTTTGCATTATGGCTCTTCTCAGAGCACTTGAGGTTACCCCAGGGCTTGAAAACTAGTGATGGGGAAAACATCTGAAAGTTGGGCCCATGGAAGTGGTAGAAAAGTACTGGAGAAACTTAAATACAATACTGGAAGAGACTATATAGTAGACATTTTCTCATATGGAACTTTCAGAACAACTGTAGAGACCATTTGTAAAGAATCTGGCTTTCCAGAGAAAAGCTGGTTATCAAGGGACTCAGACTGAATCTGCACACAACACTAGTCAAGGATTCGCTCTATCACTTCCTCATGGGGAACTTCTATTAAGAAAAATACAGATTTCAGAGCCTTACATCTAAAGCTTGTAGATCTTGGAACTTGTAATCTATATTTTTAAACATGATTTTCTGGAGATTCTGATGAACATCCAGGCTTGGGAAGTAGTTCCTAGACAATTCATAAGGTGTAGAAAAAGCTGCTAATGGCTGGTAACAGGGTGATGAGAGAATGAGGAGATGACCACATAAGATTCAGACTTCCCAAAGAGACTGACCTTCTATTTCCTGAGTAAAGGTTCAATAAGGGAAACTTTGCAAAATGCAATGAAGCAAAACAGACTCTCCATGGTTGCATTGTGGTTTTGCCTTGCTTAATTGGAAACTGCAGTATTTGTCTGGAAATGCTTGCTGATTAAGTCAGTATTTACTTTGTGGTGTACGATTTGAATGAAACTAAAACAGGTAGATTTAAGAAATGTTAACAATATTCATAAACCAATTCTCTGATTTCTCATGAGTTGATTTCATTAAAATACAAAAAAAATTTGTCAAATACTCTTTCATTGACAAAAAAATTAGCTTTAAAAAAGAATAATAGCCCTATTCATAAATTTTCATCTATTTGAACTCCTTTACATAATTAATATTTAGCAGGAACAATTGTATGTCATTACACATATTGGTAAGCTAAATGCAATTATGAGAGCACGTCACATTTGGGATAAAAAATGATAAGACTGACATACCTTCTGACCTCAATCTCCATGGAAAATAATTCAAGTAAGATAAATTAGACTTAGAGAAATATAGGAACAAGATTCTTGTTAAAGAACAAGTCTTGTTATAAATGCCGCTTGAGTGGAGTAAAGTCTGTTTTAAAATCCTTGAATATAATTGACTGTATGTCTTTTTGGAATGAAGGCTAAAATATCCTTAACATCAGGAAATGGATTTTAAACAGGTTAAATGATTTTATCTGTAATTTAGGAACTTTACCTTTTTGCACTTTTAGCTTTAAATCTCATCCTCCACAGTCTGAGAAGTTCTTTAAATTATGAAAGTTGGTTTATAGATGTATTTTCACAGAACCACTGAGTCCTGGAAATTGTTAAAGGATTATGCCAGATTAATTTTTGATTTTGCTACAGACAATCAAATGCTCAACATCTATGGAGCATATAACATCCTGGTATTCTGAAGTACAGGAGAGATAGAAAATCTTACAACCTGAGGTAGTACTGGTTGTCTTTTCTACTTCTCACATCACCTCTTTCTAGTATGCCTTTTATAGGCTGACTGCAGCCTCTACTTCAATACCTCCTAAAATAGGAAACTCACTATCTCACGATGCTGTCAATTCATTTGCTGGAGGACCTCAGTGAAACAAAAGATCTTCCTTATATAGAGTATTTCTTTAAATTCCACAAATTTACCCTACTTAAGTTACATGGAATACCACAGGAAGCCTACATTTCTGCATTTTACTCCATTAATATCTGAAAAAGCGTCATGTTTCCCATGAATTCTCTATTCCCATGTCTGCAAATTTCCTGGTGCTTTTCCTTATTTTTTCATGGAGACTTTTCTTCTCACCTACAGCGTACGATTGCAATGTCCCATGGCAAGGGCCCTAGTCATCTGGCACCTGCTTACTTTCTTTAGTTTTATTTCTTATCATTCTCTGATACTGCTCAATGTGCCAACCATGCTGAGATACCCACAGTTTGCCAGATGAAATGTGCTGTTTCACAGTGGCATATTCTGAGATGTACTTTTTCCTATGACTTAAGAATTTTCCTTCCCAGTGAACCCCTATCATCTTTTAGGATTCACTCCATTGTCACCTGCTCTAGAAGCCCCACTTGACGCCTCCAGGGGAGGAGAGTTTCTCCCATCTTCTATCTTACCATTTGAAGATACCACTGCTCAAAGTATATTCTCATGTCTCTCTTCTTCCCAAGATTGTAAACCTGTTGAAAACAGTGACCATGCCTTTGTTATTGCTCTGAGTATTCCTAAGTTGCACACAGTGGGTGTACAACAAATGTCTGCTGAATTCATGGACTGATATCCCTGATCCCAAATGATATAACTGCTCTGAACCCATAGATCCCCTGGTAATAATTACAATGTACCGTGCTTATGGGCACAAATATAATCAAATACATATGATTTCTTTTTAAGTGTCAGTTTCTTTCTTTGTCCCTAAAAGGCCATAGGTGTCAGAGTTGAGGTATTTGTGCTATATGAGTCACCAGCCTTATCTCTTTTAACCCACAAATTCAAGCTTAATCCTTATAACTTATCACTGTTTTGGCACCCTCAACACTACTTTTTTTGTTCCCTTCTTGACTTTCTGGTTCTCAGCCTTTCACATATTTCTCACCTGCATTTACATTCTCTTTACTGATGCCAGGTGTTAGAACTTCTCTCCCCTGGTTCTAACTCTGACCTGATTAGTTCTGTCTCCTGATGCTGTCTGTGTTTCAGCATGAGGTTTTCCTGTCTTGCTCTATTGATATTAGTGCACCAGAGTCAGGTGTTAGGCATAAAAAGAGTCAGCACATAGAGTGAATTTAAGCAATAAGCTGGGAAAGGGATAGCTGGAAACTAGTACCCAAGGGAGAAGAATGATTCTGGAATAGATAATCTGCCTGAAAGGTGGGGACAAGTATACTAGACAAAGCCAGGTAGGCAGGTCAGCATCAGGACATATATGAGTCATGAAGATCAGAGCCTCCAGCAGGGAGAAAACGCAGGAGAGAAAATGCAATGGGATCTAGAATAGTATAAATGCCAGAAGGTTACAACACAGTTGGTCAAAGTCCATGTAAATGACTATTTATTGGCTCTTTTCTACATATGGGGCAGGTGCTGTGTTTGCTGCACATTGGGGAATGAATAAGGGAGTCACAACCCTGCACTGGGGTTGCTTACAGCTGAGTTGAGGGAAGCTTACCAAATACACAATTAAATCCCCTTGTGATGGTGGAATTACAGGATGCTATGGGAACATGTAGCAGCGACAGCCAGGCTGCTGCTTCCACCCTGTTTAAATGCTCTGGCGAGACATTTCAGGGGTGCTTCTTTCTCAATATTCTCAAATCTCAGGCTTGCTTTCCCTCCTCTGTGACTACCTTGAGAATCCCCCAATCCTGGGTCCCAACAATTCCTCTTTATGCATTTCAGTCTCAGACTACAGTGTCAGACCAAGTAACAACACTGCTTTTCTCTCCTTGGCTTACTGATTCTCTTATTTATTTCACGTTCACTCTCTAATGCATTACCTGAGTGGCTGCTCCAGTCCTGTCCCTTCCAATCAACCTCAAATCTTTTCATCCTCAGTGCATGACCTTGTCTCTGATTTTCCTGAGCAGATTGAGGTCATCGAATGAGAATTCCATCCCTCCACCCCTTGCTACCTGCTGAAATCCATCTCTACTGCCTCTTATTATTCCTGCACTTTTACTTTTCCCTATTTCTTTCCTCCAGACTTTGAGAAAAAGGCAACCTTCTTCTTTTTATAGTGCTGACCTTTTCACTTGTGATTTCAACCCGATCCCCTCCTTCTTTCTCCAAAATTTTTCTGGAAAAAGAGTTTTCTCTTTTTTTCTGGCATCTTCAGTTGTTCTCTTCCTATTCTCTTTTTTTTTCCAGGTACCAGAATGCATGCACACATGCTAGACTTATCCTAAGAAAAAGTCTCTCTCTTTTTATTGACCACTTTCTTACTCTCATTACCAAACCCATGTACAAGTATAAGTGTCCCATGTTTAGTTGACAACATGTTGGTAACTTAAGAAAGGGGCATCAAATTGGTGTATCCCTAGTGCTTCTATTTCTTCCCAGATTTCTTTTTATTTTCCTTCTGTTCAGATTATTATCATCCATTTTTAACTTCTTTTTTTTTTTGTAAGGTTAGTAGCACAATATAACACCTCCATCTATTTGGGCTTGCTGCAATTATCAAATAAATACTTTATCCTTTAAAAGAGCTACATGCCTGGCAAAATGTAATCACACATTGAATGTAAGTTAGAATTTTTAAGGCATCTTTTTTATATCCTACGTGTTTCCCAGTGTCCAAATTGTCAAATTTCTGTTTAAATCGAATTGCTAATATTTTGATTTGAACATGATTAGCTGCCAGGTATGGAGGTGGTCAATTAGAATAAGCCAAGCTGAAACTAACAATTAAGTCTTTCTTTATGTATTATGACAGCACAGCAAGAGGCAAAAAAGCGAGGCAATGGTTCACCAGTATTTTATTTTCCCCCAAAAGACAGCACCGGATGAGGCTTTAATGGACACATGATAGACAGGGGAGAATTATCTCACTGCTGAGGAGCCCTGGCAAAAGGCTCCTGCATTTTTTTTAATTCCAGCATTATTGAGGTATAATTCACAAATAAAAATTGTACATATTTAAGGTGTACAACTTGATATTTTGATATATGTATACATTGTAAAATAATTGCCACAATCAAGCTAATCAGAATGTGCATCACCTCACAGTTACCATTTTTTGTGTTGCTAAAAGAAAAACTTCAGCCAAATTAAATTTAAAAGAGTTTAATTGAGCAATGAACAATTTACACATTCGGCACTCTTCCCAGCCAGTATTTTTGGAGACTTCAGCGCAGCCACGTGTAGGAAGAAGATTTATGGACAGAAAAAGGAAAGTGATGTACAGAAAATGGAAGCGAGGTACAGAAACAGCTGGATTGGTTACAGCTCAGTGTTTACCTTATTTGAACAGGGTTCCAACTGTTAGCTACATTTGATTGGCCAAAACTTAGTGATTGGCGGAAGCACAGGCCATGGTCTGGTTACACCTCCACTTGTTACAGTTCACGATGTACAGAGAAACCTTTAAGCCAGACTTAAAATATGTAAGGAGACAGCTTTAGGCTAAACTTGTTTTAGCAGTGTGTATGTGGTGAGAACACTTACAATCTACCCTCTTAGCAAATTTCAAGTATATACTATAGTACTGTAAACTAATCACATTACTATACATTAGATCTCCAGAAATTATTCATCTTGCCTAACTGAAATTTTCTACCCTTTGGCCAGTTTCACCCTGTTTCTTCTTTCCCTAGCACCTGGCAACCATCATTCTATTGTCTGCTACTATGAGTTTCCAACAGGTGTATGAAAATGTGCTCAGCATTGCTAATCATCAGGGAAATGTAAGTCAAAACCACCATGATATATAACCTCATATGTGCTAGGATGGCTATTATCAAAAAAAAACAAAAGATAACTTGGTGAGGATGTGGAGAAAAGAGAACCCTTGTACACTGTTGGTGTGAATGTAAAATGGTACAGCCATTATGGACAGCAGCATGGAGGTTTTTCAAAAAATTAAAAGAACTACCTTATGATCCAGCAAGCTCCCTTCTGGAAATATCAAAAGGAAATAAAATAAGTATGTCGAAGAAATATCTGCACTTTTGTGTTTATTCCAGCATTATTCACAATAGCCAAAATATGGAAACACCCTAAACATTCAATGATTCAATGATGGATGAATGAATAAACAAAGTGCAGTACACACACATACACACACACACACACACACACACATAAAGGAATACCATTCAGCCTTAAAAGAAGGAAATCCTGTTATTTGAGACAATATGGATGAAACTGGAGGACATTATGTTAAGTGAAATAAGTCAGACACAGAAATACAAATACTTCATAATCTCACTTATATGTAAAATCTAAAATAGTCAGGATCTGCAATTTTATGAACCCTCAGTGTCTGGAGAAGGGAGACGGGGAAAGGCTAGGGAGACAGAAATACTGAGTCAGAATGGAGAAAAGTTTCTTAGCTAAGGTTCTCTTCTTCCCACACCCCACCATAAAGACACCAGGGTTAGGAATGTAGATACACCTATGAGCCTGGGGGGTACCCACCCCACCCCAGTCCTTGAGAGCAACTTCCTCTAGAATGCAATGAAGGAACTGCAAAGAAGGACCAGTCAAACTGCAATTAAGACCAGTCAAAACAATATTTTAAAGGTATAATCAACAATTTGAGAATTTTACAAGGAAACTACTTTAGACACAAGCTAGTTAATTTACAAAAGACATTATCTGTTCCACCAAAGAGTAATTATTTTCATCTCTACTGGGCCAAAATCTTAAAGTTAACCTGTGTCTCTCAAACTCAAAAATTGTTCAGACAATAAAAAGTCAAATCTGCACCACACTGAAAAATAATCCAGGTCTCTCTTTTATGTGTTTCCAAGCTTCAGATAATTTTTTTGACACAATGAAATGTGATTCTGACCTGCCTCACCGGGTTGTTGTATTAAATAAGATATTGTATGGTAAGCTCATCATAGTGGTCACTCAAATGCCAGGTGCAGTTAGTTAGATGGTCATTGCTCCTCCTCAACCTTTTACAATTTGACTTTTCCGCACTATTCAGCTGAAATGTTTTGTTAGAAGGGACATCCCAAGAGCTAAGTTAATTGGCCTATTTTTGGATATTACTATTTTTTTTCCCTAGCATTTTGCCTAATTAACTATCTACTACTTATTGACATGTTCTCCTTCTTTGGTTTCTTTCGATTCTACTGCCCTCTCACTAAGCCTATTTCCTGACTTATTCCATCCTATTAGTTTTGAAATGTGAGCACCCCGCTGCAGTGCCTCATCTTTCTTCACTTTTCCTCATTTTATTCTCTCCACACTTCAATATTTCCAACACATATTTCCCCCCGACATAAATTGCAAACACATTTTTCATTACATTTTGGGAATTTCTACAGAGAAATTTTATCAACATTTCTCACTAAACACATCTTATGTTACTAAAATGTTTCCTGGCCTCAGGATTATCATTGTTTACTTATTTATTTTGAGAGACAACCAATACCCTAAGACATTTAGGCTAGACACTCTTCACTGTAACTTTTGACTCATTGCTTTCCTTTATTCTCTATATTTAATCAATTGCTCAAACTTATTGACTTTTGTCTTAAAATAACTTTCAAACTTTTTGGCAGATTGTTATTTTGGTGGCCCTAAAGAAACTATGCTTCCTGTATTTATGCCATATGGAGTCTCTGTCCTCAAAAGGAGATAGTCTGCCCTGGAAGGCTGGCATTGTCTGTAGAGAACTTAAAAATAATGACAAAATCAACTGAAAGTTGCTTTAATTTTTGTTAGTATCATGTACTTGAATTTTAAACCGTGTCAGTGGCCAAGTACTCTTCCCAGCTGATGTAGACCTCTCCCACTGCCTCTTGGCTGGGGGCACAACTCTCCTCTACCCATTCTGGTTTTTATCAGGTGGTTAACTTTCCCCAATGGGACATTAGCAAGTTTCATGCATTGAAAGACTGGATAAAACTTGCACACTGGAGCTTGTCCTCTGGAATATTTGCTTTTGGAGTGCTCCCTTTGCAAAACTCCACCACCATGCTGTGAGAAGCCCAAGCCATATGATGGTGCCATGTGGACAGTAATTGAGGCGCTCTGATTGATAGCCCCATCTTAGTTCCCAGCTTTTTCTAAATCTAATAACAAAAATTTCTTCTTATTTCATCTAGTTATGTTGCAGACCTAGAAATGATCTCAAATTATCATCCAAATATGCATCCCCCAGTTATTAAATTATAATAATACAGAAAATGGAAACAACATAAAAATAACTGATATAGTCATGTTCTGAGAAATACAACTGCAGTAAAAATTGAATTTCTTTTAGGTTAATACCAATCATCTTAGTGGATAACATAAAATGTTACTAGTAACTAGCAAGAATAAATGAGGATTTTCAAACTTAATCTGACTTCCTGAAATAAAGAGACAGGAGTTAATGTTTTCAGAATACCAATACTTTTATTTTCTGATGTAGAATTTAGCATATATGAAACTATGTGGAAAGAGCTACAAAGAAGTGAGTAAATGAGCGAATTTAATACTTTTTATGATTTGAAAAGAGACTTTTCTGAAAAATAACCCCAAAATACCCAAATATCTACTACTTTATATCCCCTTACCTCCATCTTCACCACCTCCTTGCCCATGGTAACCATTGTTTTATTTTCTAGCTCTGTATATTTGATTAAAAAATTATTATAGATTCCACTTATAAGTAAGATCATATAATATTTTTCTTTCTATGTCTGGTTTATTTCACTTAGCCCAGTGTCATCCAGGTTCATCCATGTTGGATAGCTTAAATATAGACAATAAAATTTATTTTGAAAAAAGTGGTAATTGGGAAGAAAGCTGGAGAGTCTTTATTTTTTTTTGAGTGGGTATCATGCTCCGTGTCTCTGTACTTTGGTTTGTCCAATTCAATAACTCAGCTAATGTGTATTCAGAAAGTACTGAAACCAGACAGTGTACTTGGTGATTTAGATGCTGAGATAAAAAAATACAAAATTCAGCATCCAGTAGTGGAGAAGACACATCACACATGAGTTCAATGTTGTGCTGAGTGCTGTGAACAAAGAGCTTGTATACTGGATTCTGCATATATATTGGGTTGCAGAAGCACAGAGGAGGGCACTTTGTTCTTAGAGGACAGGGATGACTTGTCAGAAGAGCTGTTGCATCAGCTCCCTTCAGCAATTTAAATTATCTATTTGAATAAAAACAAAGTAAGCCTTATGAGAGCAAGAGATGAATTAATCTATATGGTTAACAGTTCCTAAAACACAGAAAACACTAGATAATACCTCTTGAATAACTGAATGAAAGATGCTTTTGTTATATTTGTGAATGAAAACAAAAATGTTTATGAATAATATTAAAATATGAAGGTCTTTACTGACTGAAATAACTGTCTTTAATAATAGGAAGTTTAATAGTGAAAAACACAATGGGTTGTACTAGTTTATGGAATCAAATGTCTATGGATAAGAGTGCAGAGATAATGCATAAATGGTGGCAACTTCTGTTCTTTTTATGGTTTCTATTTCTTTATTAAAGCTTCTCATTTTGTTCATACATTATTTCCCTAATTTTATTTATTTATCTATCTGTATTTTCTTGCACGTCATGGAGCTTAAGGTAATTATTTTGAATTCTTTTTCAAGCTGCTCTTATATCTCCATTTCTTTTGGTTCAATTATCAGAGCTTTATTAGTTTCCTTTGTTGGTGTGCTGTTTGCCTGATTTTTTTTTTGTTTTTTTTTTTGTTATCCATGTGGCCTCACATTAATGTCTGTGCATTTGAAGGTGTAAACACCTCTTTTAGTCTTTACAAACTGGCTTTGGCAAGTTAAAATCTTTTCCTGTTAGGTTTCCATGTCAATGGGATTGCTTCAAGGATCTTGGTTATGTGAGTGCCTTAATTTAAGGCACTTTTCTGTGCATGGGGCTGTCTCCAGGACATTGGCCCATTAGGCTGGTACTGGAATGAGGGCCCACTTCAGGGTTTATAGATCGTGGTCCTGTGACTAGGTGAGCTGATGGTTGTGGCTACCTCAGAGTCTCTGGGAAGGCTCTCTATGGATCACTGCGTGGGTCCCTGGACAGGTTGTAGTGCCCTGGCCCATGGCTGAAAGGGGCTGATGCCAATATCGGAAGCAAGTCACAGAGTTGTTTCAGGGTCCACAGCTGAGACAGAGATCTTCAGGCCTCTCTGCAGGGTCACAGATAGACATGTGTCCTGGTAGGTTCTTGGGTAAGCAGGTGTGCTCTCAGATCACAGTTAAGAAGGGCTGGAGCCAATTATAGGGCAATTTCAAGATCCACAATGGGACCAAGGTCAGCAAACTAGCCTGCTAGGGTACTGCCAGATAGGTAGCATCTTCCGCAAATAAGTCCACGTTGTGATGTTGTTGTCAGAGTCAAGGCATTATTTAGATTGAAGTAATTAATGTGTTCAGTACAAAGAAGATGATAATTCCACTGGTCTTATTGTATTTGTCAGAACCTCTCTAAATAATTGTTTCCACTTTGTAGTGCAACATTTTGCAAAACTGAATATGGTTGCAGGAAGGCAGTCAAAACAATAAAAGTCTAAATACCACATAAAGAATGAAGTGGCCTTTTGTAGCTCTTAAGTTATATAGTTCTTTAGAATTAAAGGATTGATCCTGAATAGACAGCTAACAAGCTCTGAAATTGAGGCAGTAATTTATAGCCTACCAACCAAAAAAAAAAGAAAAAAAAAAGCCTAGGATCAAATGGATTGACAGCTGAATTCTACCAGAAATAGGTGTTGCTACCGTTTCTTCTGAAACTATTCCAAACAATTGAAAAGGAGGGACTCCCCCCTAACTCATTTTATGAAGCCAGCATCATCCTGATAGCAAAACCAGAAAGAGACACAACAAAAAAGGAAAACTTCAGGTCAATATCCCTGATGAGCATCTGTGCAAAAATCCTCAATAAAATACTGGGAAACTGAATCCAACAGCACATCAAAAAACTTATCTGCCACGATCAAGTCAGCTTCATCCCTGGGATGCAAGGCCAGTTCAACATATGCAAATCAATAAACATAATCCATCACATAAACATAACTAAAGACAAAAACCTGATGATTATATCAATGGATGCAAAAAAAACCTTTGATAAAATTAAACATCCCTTCACTTTAAAAACTCAATAAACTAGGTATTGATGGAACATATCTCAAAATAATAAGAGCTATTTATGACAAACCCACCGCCAATATCATACTGAATGGGCCAAAGCTGGAAGCATTCCCTTTGAAAACCAGTACAAGACGAGGATGCCCTCTCTCACCGCTCCTATTCAACATAGTATTAGAAGTTCTGGCCGGGGCAATCAGGCAAGAGAAAGAAATAAAGGGTACTCAAATAAGAAGAGAGGAAGTCAAGTTGTCTCTGTTTGCAGATGACATGATTTTTTATTTAGAAAACCCCATCATCCCAGCCCAAAAACTTCTTGAGCTGATAAGCAACTTCAGGAAAGTCTCAGGATACAACATCAATGTGCAAAAATCATAAGCATTCGTTACACAAACAATAGGCAAGCAGAGAGCCAAAGCATGAATAAACTCCCATTCACAATTGCTACAAAGAGAATAAAATACCTAGGAATACAGCTAATAAGGGATGTGAAGGACCTCTTCAAGAAGAACTACAAACCACTACTCAAGAAAATCAGAGAGGACACAAACAAACGGAAAAGCATTCCATCCATCCTCATGGATAGGAAGAATCAATATGGTGAAAATGGCCATACTGCCCAAAGTAATTTATAGATTCAATCCCCATCAAACTACCATTGACATTCTACACAGAATTAGAAAAAACTATTTTAAACTTCATGTGGAATCAAAGAAGACTCTGTGTAGGCAAGAAAATCCTAAGCAAAAAGAACAAACTGAAGGTATCACACTACCTAACTTTGCACTATACTACAAGGCTACAGTAATCAAAACAGCATGGTACTAGTACCAAAACACACATATAGACCTATGGAGCAGAATAGAGACCTCAGAAATAACACCACACATCTACAACCATCTGATTTTCAACAAACCTGACAAAAACAAGCAATGGGGAAAGGATCTCCTATTCAGTAAATGGTGCTGGGAAAACTGGCTAGCCATATGCATAAAACTGAAACTCGACCCCTTCCTTACACCTTATACAAAAATCAAATGTAAAACCCCAAACCATAAAATTCCTAGAAGAAAACATAGGCAATTCCACTCAGGACACAGGCATGGGCAAAGACTTCATGACAAAAACACCAAAAGCAATTGCAACAAAAGCCAAAATTGACAAATGGGATCTAATTAAACTAAAGAGCTTCTGCAGAGCAAAAGAAACTGTCATCAGAGTGAACGGGCAACCTACAGAACGGGAGAAAATTTTTGCAATCTACCCATCTGACGAAGGTCTAATATCCAGAATTTACAAGGAATTTAAAAAATATTTACAAGAGGCTGGATGCAGTGGCTCACACCTGTAATCCCAGCACTTTAGAAGGCCAAGGCAGGTGGATCACTTGAGGTCAGGAGTTCCAGACCAGCCTGGTCAACATGATGAAACCCCTTCTCTACTAAAAATACAAAAATTAACCAGGTTGTGGTGATGGGCGCTTGTAATCCCAGCTACTCGGGAGGTTGAGGTGGGAGAATTGCTTGAACCTGGGAGGCGGAGGTTGCAGTGAGCCGAGATCAAGCCACTGCACTCCAACCTGGGCAACAAAGTGAGACCCTGTCTCAAAAAAAAATATATATATGTATATATATTTTATATATATTATATATATAAAAGAGTATATATATATATATATATATATATATATATATATATATATACACTCACACACACACACACACAAGAAAAAAAAACCCCATCAAAAAGTGGACAAAGGATATGAACAGACACTTCTGAAAAGAAGACATTTATGCAGCCAACAAACAAGAAAAAAAGCTCAACATCACTGATATCAGAGGAATGCAAATGAAGAAGACAACAATGAGATACCATCTCGCGCCAGCCAAAATGGCAATTATTTTTAAAAGTCAGGAAACAATAGATGCTGGCGAGGCTGTGAAGAAATAGGAACCCTTTTACACTGTTGGTGGGAATGTAAATTAGTTCAACCACTGTGGAAGACAGTAAGGCAATTCCTCAAGGATCTAGAGCCAGAAATACCACTTGACCCAGCAATCCCATTACTGGATATATAAACCAAAGGAATATAAATCATTCTACTATAAAGACACATGCACATGTATGTTTATTGCAGCACTATTTACAAGAGCAAAGACAACAAACCCAAATGCCCATCAATGATAGACTGGATAAAGAAAATATTGTACATATACACCATGGAATACTATGCTGTGAAAAGGAATCGAATTATGTCCTTTGCAGGGACACGGATGAACCTGGAAGCCATAATCCTCAGCAAACTAACACAGGAACAGAAAACCAAACACTGTGTGTTCTCACTCATAAGTGGGAGTTGAACATTGAGAACACAGGGACACAGAGAGGGGAACAACACACACCAGGGCCTGTTGAGGGGTGGAGTGTGAGAGGAGGGAACTTAGAGGACGGGTCAATAGGTGCAGCAAACCACTATGGCCCACGGGCACCTGTGTAACAAACCTGCATGTTCTGCACATGTATCCCATTTTTTTTTAGAAGAAATAAAAATAAATAAGAAAAAAACTAGAAAAAAAAAGAATTAGAGGATTTATTTTCATTGGAGAAAAAAAATATATCCCCAAGAAGGATAGCATTTCTTTGTTATTGAGACCATAGGTCTTGGCCTTGAAGAGTTTAGAAATTCATTATATTTCTATAATTTTTGACTTTAGAAGAATAGAAAATGATTTATAAATAAACTGTGGATATTGCTAAGATTTCAATTTATAAAATAATTTATCTTCTATTTGGTCCATGTCCTGATTTATTATATGATAATTTATGTTCATGCATTGGTAATACTTTGTAAGTTTAAAAGTTTAAAGATACTATTCTAAGTTTAAAAGTTAAGGATATACAGAGAGCATAAACATACTTTTGTGACTTGAAGCCCCTGCCCCCAAATGATGCATCCTTCAATTGAGAAATAAGCTACAAGACGCCTTGATGCCTGAAGTGACAGAGAAAAACTTTGAAATTGCTGTGTTATTATCACTTTTAAATGAGTGAATAACACTCAAAGTATGTGTAATACAATAATGGATTGGTGTAGCTGTGTCCCTTAATATTTTCAAAATGATTATATAGTAAATTTCTGCTATCTATAAATCAGTTAAAAGTGGCCAAGGCAGTAATAAAACTATATTCTATAAATATTTAATATAATAACATTCTACTATGGATTAAGAATCTTATTTTCCTGAAAATAAAATTGCACTGACTTTAAAATGGATATCATGTGCTTTAAGTGATTTGTTTAAACTATCAAGGTAGTATCAGAAAGCAAAGTATATATATTTTATTGAGATTTTCCCCCTTGGAGACAAATCAGGTCAGGTTGAAAAAATAGAAAAATAGAGAATTATGTAATAAAATTCTTTGGTATATTGCATTCAAGTGGTGAGATTTGAGTATGCTTCAGTATATAATGAATAGCTATCAATCCTTAAATGTTGAAAAGTCACAAATGAAGTAATTTAAGATATGGCGTGATTGAACTCAGAGACAATGTATTTTATATTACAGTCACCATGAATATATGCACCAAGGGAATGAACACACAAATTAAAAGGTAAGTAAATGAAATAGAAAAGTATATAATTCTAGATTGCCAAGGAAAAGTTTTAGCCCTGGTTAAATCAAAATCTTTGCCTCCCTTGCTTGGGTCTGCAGCTGCACTGCGAAACATGACTGGTAGGAAACATGCAACATTTCCATTCTCATTTTAAATTCATGACTACTAACCTCAGGTTGGCCTTTTTTACTGCTGTTTGGAAACCCTACTTTATTTTCCTAGTTAATTCACTCTTCTACTTTTCTGGACAACTATTTCACAATTTTGTCTCTTCTCTCAAACTTCTAATACTTCTTCTTCTATACTCTCACACATAAAATGTCCTGTCCATGATTTTATCTAAGGTAAACCACACTCGTTCTACACAAACTACATCCTCTTGCCTTTTCCCATGTAAGGAACTGGCTCTAGCAATTCTCTGTCTTCTTTACACTTTATCACATGCTACCTGTTCATTGTATTTTACCTATCAATATGCACTAGCATTAATACCCCACTGCAATCTCACATTTTCTATTACAGATTACAAAAAAATGAAATTCAACTTTAGCTTTCAGCTATGAATGAGTAAAAGGATTTAAAATGAATCTTACGTCACAAACAAATTAGAAAACTGCAAAACCTGTAGCAAACAAGCATTTTTATACATTAGAAAGCAGGCAGCATGAGACTCTGATCCCTGAGAGGGAACAAGAAAACTGTTGTATCCCTACATAGAAAGGCTTGACTTTCTGCCTAGAGGTAATTTTCAGGCTATGGAGGAGAAAAGGAAAACCTAAACAGAACGTTTTGGGGCATAGTGCCCAATAGGAAAAAGCTACACAGAGAAAAAGTACCAGAAAACTGTGTAGGGGACCCATTGAAACTATAGATAAATACAAAGCCAAGCATGCATAGGGTAAAACCCTATGAGGTCAGACAAGAATAAGCTCTGTGGGAAGAATAATTATTAAGGAGCTGAAAGCTGAAAGCTGATAAAGGTTTCACACAAGACTGGGAGTTATTTGAGTTTTCACCAGCCAAAGCAGAGAGATCTTAACCCATGGGGCATTCAGTAGAGACTACAGAATAGTCATGACTTAAAAAATAGAATTAAAGTAATCCTAAAGTCTTCTCTTGAGATCCTCAAAAAGCGATTAAAAATAAGGCTTAAAATTATCAAAGTGATCTTCAATTAATTGCCTGCTAGAAAAATTGATACCTTTTGAAGAAATTTTTAAAACCTAGCATTCAACAATATAAAAATATATGTGCAGAAAAAGTGATCCATAACCTGGAGAAAAATAAATAGAGACAGGAATTCAGACATAATAGCATCAGAATGGTTGGACACAGTGGCTCATGTCTGTAATTCCAGCACTTTGGGAGGTCAAGGTGGAAGGACTGCTTGAGGCTAGGAGTTCAAGACCAACCTGGGCAATATAGTGAGACCCTGTCTCTACTAAAAATAAAATTAAAAAAAAAAAACTAGCCAGGTGTAGTGGTACATACCTGTAGTACCAGCTACTTAGGAGGCTGAGACAGGAGGATTGCTTGAGACTAGGAGATTGAGGTTGTGCCACTGCATTTCAGCCTGGGTGACAAAGAAATACCTTGCTTCAAAAAAAAAAAAGGGTGTGGGTGTGTGTGTGTGTGTGTGTGTGTGTGGGTGTGTGTGTGTGTGAATAAAATAATGCTGCAAAGAATATATATATATTCAATATATACTATATATATTGAATATATATAGAATATATAGAAAGAATATATATAGAATATATAGAGAGAATATATATATACAACATATAGACAGAATATATATACAGAATATATATAGAGAGAATATAGATAGAATATATATAGAGAGAATATAGATAGAATATATATAGAGAATATATATATAGAATATATATAGAGAATATATATATAGAATATATATAGAGAATATATATATAGAATATATATATAGAGAATATAGATATAGAATATATATAGAGAATATATCTATATCTATATCTATATATCTATATCTATCTATCTATCTATCTATCTATCTATCTATCTATCTATCTATATATATATATATATCCTGCACAAGGTGCTATATTTCTCTAAGGCTATGTTATCAGAAATAAAACTGCTGGATCATGGGATATGTTCCTCTTCAATTTTATTAGACTTTACTAAACTGACCCCCAACTTATAACAGGTTGAACCATTTTATTTATTTATTTATTTTTATTTAATTTTTTTTTAAAAGTTGTCTCACTCTGTCACCCAGGCTGGATGCAGTAATAGGATCATAGCTCACTGTAGCCTCAAACTCCTGGCCTCAAGTGATCCTCCTGCCTCAGCCTCCCAAAGTGGTGGGATTACAGGCATGAGACAGGACACCCAGCAGGTTAAACTACCGTAGAGTCCCACAGCCACATAAAGCACAATCAATTTCCATATTGTATATCCTCACAAATACTTACTAGGGTAAAATATTAATTTTAGCCAATGTGAAAAATGAAAACTGTTATCCCCTTATTATTTTAATGTATATCTTTTAATGATAAGGCCTGAACATGTTTTCAAGTGTTTATTAAGTATTTTCCCTCTTTGGGACTTATCTATTTTTGTCTAAGTCCTTTGGGACTTACCTACGTTTGTTCTTTACATGTACTTTTGATGTTAAAAGGTCCTTTGATTTCTCTTTAGAATAAGGCAATATTTTAGCTACATAGTAGCAATAAATAAGTATTTATTGACTTTAATTCATAGAGTTAGGAAAACATGTTCTATTGATCTTTGAAGAAATTGTTTTTTTCACTCTGTTTTTCTGTGCTGTTTTCTGAATCCTAAATATAATAGGATGTGAAGGGCAGAATCATTTAATGTGAGAGCCTATGCTTTGGAACCAGGTAGACTTGGGTTTGAATCCTGGCTCTTCCACTTAATCCTCATGTAACCTTGGGCAATCACTCAGATTTTCTGAAGTTGACATAATAATCAATAGCTCATGAAGCTCCAAATATTAACTTAAGAAAATAAGTATAAAAACCTTAGCATGGTGACTATTAAATAGAAGATGCTCACTAAATATCAATTCCATTTTTCTACACCCTTCATCTCAAACTGCACATGGAAATAAATATTGCTTTGGTGTGATGAGATGTCCAGTTCACCTTTCTCACTGAATGTTACATAAAAGTCCCACCCAGGTATCTGGCGAACTTACTAATATACTTAATCTACCTGTAAGTGCACCTTTCTGTACATGGAAAAACTTGTATTAACTCCTGAGTTTGAACTAAGAAACCTTAACAACCAATCAAAATAGGGGTTGCAGTTGCTGTGGGAGACAACCTTTCTCAATATATCCCTTTAAACTGAATATATCAAGACCTTCTTTTCATATTAAAATGTTAGCTGTACACAAATGAGGGCATGAGAGGGACAGGTGCAATGCTCATGGCTAGTCTGAAGGAGAAAGATTGGAGGAAAAGTAGAGATATTACATGCTGACATATATACACTTCCTTTAAATTTTGCTGAATTGTCCCTTTCTTAAGAATTAGAGGCATATTTTTAGATCTTGCATTGGCTGTTAGTCTAGTGTCCTTTTAAATCAGAATCTCAAAGAATATTCGGTAACAATGCTGAAATTTGCCTTGAGAATTTAAATGTGCAAACACATGTGGACAGTAGGGGTCACAGTTGTCTTAGATTAACATCAGAAAATTGGTGTGTATGTATTTTTTGTTTTATCTTTGTTTTTAAGATTTACAGATTTATAGAATAAAAACCTAAAAGCTGAGTTTGGTTTGAAAATGTGCTCTTTGGTCATATTAAGAGGTTTGAAATCTTGTCTTTCTCCCTTCTGCACATTTGCATAATTGGCTTCAACATTCTTTCTCAGAGACAAGAATTTTTGATTCATGGACAGCTATGTTCTGAATGATGATATTCTTTTAATCACTGTCAAGCTGGAAAGGAATTCTCATTAGGGACTTTTAAATTTTCTAATCAAAGTTCCTGAACTTCTTTTAGAATAAGTGAGTTTCATATTTTAAAGTGTGGTAAAAATTATTTCTCTCTTTTGTTTTAAAGAAATGAAGTAAGTTCCTAAATTTTCCACTTTGTGTTAAGGCTCTAATTGCCAGGAAATTATTGTTGTAACATGCTGTTTGCCAGTGATTGGTTAGAATACAAATTTTTACCCAAATCTCTGTATCATTTGCTGTAATACATCATAAAAGCTCATATAGCAATGGCAATTTAATACAATATTTGATGCAACATATTGTGTACTTAGTTGATAACATTTTTATTTAAAAATATTTGTAGGAGATCAATTTACTAGGTAAACACAAAGGGACATACTATTTATTGTAGATTAAAAGAGGATAATAAAGCACTGCTGGAGATAGGTAGTAATTATAACTCACATTGCTTGTAAAAGGGAAGCTAGTACAACTCCTCGAAAGACCAGTTTTTGGCAATACTACTAAAGCTGATCACACGCATACATAGCCACTCTACTTCTAAAAATATATCTTAAAACAAGCTGATAGCACTATTTGTATTAGTTCCAAATCAGAAACTATCTGAAAGTATATCAACAGGACAATTGGTTAATACATTGTGATATAGTATAGAATGAAATACTACTATACAGTAATAAGAATGAACAACTACAGACAACTGTCTGGATGAATCTTACAAATATAATGTTGAGTGAAACAAGTCAAACACAAAAGAGATAAGGCACTATACAATTTTGTTGGTGTAAGCATCAAAACCAGGCAAAACTATGTAATAGTAAGATAAACCCTTATCAGGGGGTTATTGACTGGAAGGGGGTGTATTAGTTGCTAAATGCTATATATTGATCTGTATGCTGGTTAAATAGGTAGGTTCAGTTTATGAAAATTGAATAAGCTATGCAGTTGTGACAAAGAGGGTAATGATGAGTTTGCTTTACCAATAGAGATTGTTGGGCGGTCTCAGTGCTTGGCAACATTTTCATACATTTTTTCCCAAGGTTCAGCATGTGATACTTAATTTGCATGTCTGCAATTATATCTTTGTCAAGGCACTTTCTGTTGCCTGGATTAAGAACAACTTATTCATTTTAACTCATGGAAGACTGAGGAATAAATTAAGGTAGATGCATTAATTTAAAAGTAATATTCTTTACCATTAACTGGAATATTCAATTCCCTCATTCAGATAAACCTTCCTATTATTGTAAAATTAATAGCTGGAAGCCAGTCTTAGTGAGTGTACAATGAATGCAGAGGCAGGTGAATAATAAGGAGTTTTTCTTTAGAATATGTTGGTGCCCAATGATTTGTTTCTTTTACATAACAGAATTTGTGTTTCTAATGTCTGTGGTAGAGTCTCCCAGCTGTAGTCTCTCATCATCTTTGGCTCATTCATTTTTAAAGTCAAGCAGCCCTAGGGCCACGGCACCACAGAATAAAGGTTTGATTACAAACCTATGTACTGAAGTGTTGGTATTTTCTAAACATGCCTCAGAAGAGTTTCTTCACTGCAGCCCAAGATCTGTAGACATATATTCATGCAATTTAGCAATACCCAAAAGAAGAATATAACTTGTCTTTATGGAACTAACTATATGCAGTCATGGAGTTCAAGTCAGCAGGGGTTGACAGTGTTACATTCAAGCATGCTGACCTTGCCACATTTTTACAAGATGAAACTAGAGCAACTAGTTAAACTGATGTTGAGGATAATGTCAGAAATTCAGCAAGGTTCAGTACTCATGGTTAAAGAGCAGGCATAAAAGGCAGAATAGATAAAATATTTGCATTTTAGAGGACTTTGAGTATAGAACACTTAAAATTTTCATTGCAGTTTGTGATGATACACGGCAATGAGCAAAGGAAATTAATTTCTAACATTTAGCTATTTGAATACAATACCATATTATAAAAGTGGAGAAAAAGATTATTTTACTGATTTCCTGTTGACCTGCTTACTTGGATTGGTAGCCATGATTATACTATCAGTATTATAAAATACAGATAAGTTTGAGTAACCAAAGTATTTATAAAAATAATCTTGGCATTCTGTTACCTCATTGCATCATGAAGAAATTTCCAAAGTGTTGTATGTAAAAAAAAAAAAAAAAAATTTCTGAGTCAGATTATTGCTGTGTTTCACCCAGGCTGGAGTATAGTGGTGCGATCATAGCTAGCTGCAGCCTTGAACTCCTCCTCAAGCAATCCTTCCTCCTTGGCCTCGCAAAGTCCTGGGATTACAGGCGTGAGCTACTGGGCCTGACCTACAAAATGTTTTATGCTTTCGTGAGTACTAGGTTTCTGATTTCAGCTTTTTTTATTTAATGAGGATGCATTCATTCATTCATTCAGTATCTACTTTATTCTAAATAATTACCAGGTGCTCTTGTGGAGATACACAAGTGCCCAAGAAATAATCCATGTGCTTTAGGCATTTATGACTTAGAAAGTGATATAGAATAAATTACCGAATAAATTTATTTTAAGTCCAAATGAAATCCATGCTTGAAGAGGTGCATTAGTATCCTGTGCCTGAAAAAAAGGGACAATTAATTATTTTTATCAGGAAATGCTGTAGAGAGGGGGTGATGTTTTCACTGGGTCTTGAAGGATAAGCAGTGTTTCAATAGCAGGCAATGGTGTCAAGGGCATTCTTGGCTGAGAGAACAGCAATAGCAAGGACACAGAGGAACATTCTTGACATGCTTAGGACACTAGAGACAGTCTAATATTAGTGATGTTCACTGTGGGATGAAATGTAGTGAGATGGGAGAGAAGTTAATTAGGAAATAGGCCAACCTCATAAAGAGAGAAGTGGTAGTCATTTCTCTGACATGTATCAACCCGAGTTTAGTGCTGATTCTATCAAAATAACTGAACACAATGTTTACAACACATTTAATTGGGAAAGAATGTTGAAGATTATCTAGTTTAATGTATCTCTCTCTCTCCCCACTTTTTCCAAGCCATAGGCTCAGAGAGAGGTTAAGTATTTTTAATCAAGACCATACAACCTGGAGGTTGTCTGGGTATGAAATATCCCACGTTGCTATATTTGGTTTGTAGCTCTTTCCACTATAGTAGTACAACAGAGGCTGCTGGTCTATGTGGCAGAGTAGAAATCCAAGGCAGAGATATTCCCTGTTGTTGATGGCAAATAAGGCAGTAATTTCCTAGTTTTGTAAGTAGGCAGTGACTTAAATTTGATGCAGGTGACTTCTCAATATAGCAGACATGTGAGGAAGTGCAATTTGGTTCCAAAATTGACCCATCCAGGTAGTCAGGTTTGTGTTAGGTGATCAATATCCCTACAAGGGCTACTTGATCAGGCATGAACATCTGTTTCCGATTGATCCATTAACATTCCTTCTTGGAAATTTGGAATTGGGAGACTGAAAGACTGAGATAAAAGATCATGTAGGTTAAGGGCTAACACTGAAATCCTGATGAGCTAAAGCCAGATGTAAAAAGAGACAGAAAAAGAATAAAGTGAGTAAAAAGAGAAGACAGAAGCACAGAGAGAGGCAGAGACAAAGAGGGATGGAGATGCAGCTTCAATGATACTAATTTCCAGCTGTTTCCGATCTTATCCAGTGATGTGTAATTCTACCTTTATGTGCCACATCAGTTAGATCTGACATATTTGAGCTGGCTTGCATGGGCCTCTGCTCTGTGCAAGTAAAGCAGCTTTGACCAGAAAAATCCATGTGACTCTGTTAACTCCAAATGGTGAATAACCCCTTTGTATTTTCCTTTGAGTTGTGTTTTCTTTACTTCTACCTTTGAACAAAAACAAACAACTTAACCCCCCTGATTCCTCTTCAAATGAGAAACTCTAGCTTATCTATTTTGTTATTTGGGGGGAAATGCTTCCTTTAGACCTGTTGAGTCAGGATTGCCCCTTAAATTACTAAAGGACAATGGAAGCTGTCTGAAGCTGTCTAGTGTTCAAGACCAATATGTATTAGACAGTAAGGCTTCAGTTGCCTCTGGAACAGAACCCTGCATCAAGAACATGTCTCTGTCTGTTGCAGAATCACCTTTCAGTTGAATGACCAACTTGAAATCTGAAGAACAGATGAGTGATCCTTAATAGTTTTCTTTTCCCTCTTCATCACCTCATTATCATTAAAAAGGGCAATAGATCTTAACAGGAATGCCGAAAATAGCACTCTGTAAAAAGGAATAAAATAGGTGTAGACACCATGCTGGGGCGGGTGTCACAGAAACAGCCTTCTTACTGACCATTGCGCTCTCAGGATAATGAACCATCGTAAATCTTTTGAACTGGGAAGAAAATGTTATGTATTTAACTAATTTGAGACTAATCAAGATATAAGAAGTATGCCTTGATTTGAAAATGCTCTTTTTATACACATTAATGTATAAATACCATAAATATATTTATAAATTATTTGTAAATAATATATTTATAAATTATAAATATGAATTTATAAGACATATCACAATCACCTAAATATCATTTTGCCTATGAAGTACCATGCATCCTATTTAGCAAGAATTGCCTGCTGACTTTTGAAAGGTGTACTTACACAAATTTTTCTAGCAAATCTATAAACAAACAAATGAAGAAATAGGAAAAGTGTTGAATTGGCCAGAACGTTTAAGACATTCAGTGACTGGAATCTTAATGTAGACTCCTGGGTTTGGAAAGACCAATAAACAGTTTAATCCAGCCATTGGTTCTCAGAAAGAAGGAGCCTTCGAGGGGAGATTTGTGCTGGAGCAATTTGCAATCAATTCTCTAGCTCCGCCCTGTTTTAGTCCAGAAATACCATGGGTTAATACTCATATCTCTGTCTTTGCTGAAAGGAAAGAACCACTTCAAGCCTCATTATCCTCATTAAACCACAATCAGTACCCACAGATCAAGGACTACCTGCAGACAGCTTTAATCAGGCAAAATAAAAACAGCTTCTGTCTGAGTTTTGGAGCTCAGCAGGTCTGTTCATAGTGATCTTCCTGACTCTGTTAATGCTTAACTCTGAGCACTTGCCAGAATTGACCTCTCCTACTTTAGCCACAAGTCCTTGAGATCGGACCTAGTCCTTTTGTCTACTCAAGTCTATGTAAAACTCTTCACTTCTAAATTCAAAGTCTAGCCTTTCCTGACTATCTGTCTCTCTGGCACTCTAGCCAGTGGTTGAGAACCCAGAAAGAGGGATCAGGCTTCAAGTGTTGATTTCCACACTGAATATTATTCCCTAGAATATTACTTAGTCTTTCGGGTGTCATTCTCTTCATCTGTAAAATAGGGAGAATGAAAAGTGTATTGCACAGTTGCTTTAAGAACTAGATAAAATGTATACTTGATAAGATGTATACAAGGTCTCTAAAAATTCTAGAAGTATGGCAAGGTTCTCAGAAAATAATAGCAAAAGCTTGCTCATGTGGCTTTGTAGTCTCAGAGTATCTATTATTATTATTATTGTTATACCATAATTAAAAACACATGGTCTTATTTTTACATTTGCTAATGAACAAGTAGAGCAGTGTTGAAAATATACGTGCAAAGTATATCTCCTGCTTAAGACCCTAATTTAAATAATTACTTTAAGTTTTGTGAAATACCAAGACTAATCTTGTAGAATAAGCTTGCTAATAAGAGACTTAAAAATACTGGCTCAGCATTTGAAAGCATTCATTTTTCCCCCTATAACAATAGTTGTAAGTGAACAATATAAGTGTAAAATGATATTAAGGGAGACATTGGAGCCCTGAGCTTTCTATTCTTTCATAAAAGAAGCATCTGCTTTTTATGCCCCCAGAATCACATCTCCTAGCTGCTGAAAATGGCAAAGCTCTTTTATTTGAGAAAATATAAATTTAGGATTATAAGTCAATTAGCACAAAAGGAAATGATGAAATGCTAAGAAAAAGAGTTTGGGTTAATTTAAAGCCGCTTAGTCTTTACAGGACTTTGGCTGGAGTATAATTTAAGCGTTTCTATACAGGTGGCAACATCTCTTGGGGGACCTGCCTTAGGTTCAGAATTGTGACTATTGATAAAGTGACTTAAGAGATGTGATTTAAGTGATGTACGGCTTAGATAAGTTCTCAGAATTTACTGTCAAAAGAAAGTTCTGTGGCTAACAGAAGAGAAATGGTCATTTCATCCATCTATCATTTTCCTTCACTTGGAGAACTAGTGTCCTAAATGTATATGTCATAGTGTCCCAGAAAGAACACACTCCCCATTTAAGGGAGTCTGGATGACAATGATCTGAGCTCATCTCTGCCACTGGTCACTGCACATCTGTGGATGTTGGGGTTTTATGTAGGTGATCTTTACATTTGAGTTGCTGAAAGAATGGGGTTTTTATTAATCTGATTATATTGTCAGAATCCTTAGATTTGAGTCCTACATCCATCACTGTTATGGGTTGAATTGGGTCCCCCTAAATTCATTCATATGTTAAAGTCCTAATCCCTGATATCTCACAATGGACCATATTTGGAGGCAGAGTGTTTACAGAGATAATTAGTTTAAGATGAGGTTATTAGAATGGGTCCTCATCCAGTATGACTGGTGTCTTTATAAAAAGGGGAAATTTGGAGACAGACTTGCATTCAAGCAGAATGCCATATGAACATGAAGACGACCATCTACAGGCCTGGAAAGAGGCCTGGAGCAGATCCTTTCCTCACAGCCCTCAGGAGACACCTACCCTGCCAACACTGAATTTGGACTTCCAGCCCTCAGAATTGTGAGAAAATAAATTTCTGTCATTTAAGCCACTCAGTTTGTGGTACTTGCTTATGGTAGCCCTAGAAACAAATACAATTACTTATTAGCTGTGTGACTTAGACAAATTACAGTCTTCCCTCAGTATCTGTGGGAGATTGGTTCCAGAACTCCCCCAGATACCAAAATCAAAGGGGCTCAAGTCCCTGATATAAAATGGCATAGTATTTGCATATAGTCTATGCACTTCCTCCCATATACTTTAAATGATCTCTAAATTACTTATAATACTTAATACAAGGCCAACACATTACTTCATTTGTGTGGATTCTACATAGCTCTGAGTGCATGGCAAACTCAAGTTTTGCTTTTTGGGAGTTTGTAGAATTTTTTTTCCTAAACCTTTTCATTCCACTGTTGGTTGAATCTGCAGATATGGAACTCATGGATGCATAGGGCTAACTATACTTAAATTCTTTTAAATCTTGGTTCTTAGCACTGAAAATGGGCATGATAAAAACAGAGTTAAAAAGGAAGAGTTCTCAAGCTAGTCCTTGGGCTCATATTCCAGTTCTACTACTTAAGAGATATGTAACCTTGGGCAAGTTGCTTAACCTTTCTCTGCCTCAGTGTTTTTACTGGCAAAATAAAGATAATAATAATGGTTATGTGTCCAGAACTGGTTCCTTCCGGTGGGTTCTTGGTCTCGCTGACTTCAAGAATGAAGCTGCAGACCTGAACGGTGAGTGTTACAGCTCTTAAAAGTGGCGCGCCCGGAGTTGTTTGTTCCTCCCAGTGGGTTCTTGGTCTTGCTGACTTCAGGAATGAAGCCGCAGACCCTCGCAGTGAGTGTTACAGCTCATAAAGGTAGTGCGGACCCAAAGAGTGAGCAGCAGCAAGATTTATTTTGAAGAGCAAAAGAACAAAGCTTCTGCAGCATGGAAGGGGACCCAAGCAGGTTGCCGCTGCTTGCTGGGATGGCCAGCTTTTATTCCCTTATTTGTCCCCACCCACGTCCTGCTGATTGGTCCATTTTACAGAGCGCCGATTGGTCCATTTTACAGTGTTGATTGGTCTGTTTTACAGAGTGCTGATTGGTGCATTTACAAACCTTTAACTAGACACAGAGGACGATTGGTGCATTTTTACAGAGTGCTGATTGGTGCATTTACAAACCTTTAGCTAGACACAGAGTGCTGATTGGTGCATTTTTACAGAGTGCTGATTGGTGTGTTTACAATCCTTTAGCTAGACAGAAAAGTTCTCCAAGTCCCCACTCAACCCAGGAAGTCCAGCTGGCTTCACCTCTCAATCCCCCCTCTAAACAGGACACCCCAATGGCTGTTGGGAATTTGGGTGATGACCATTCTAGCTACTTCCTGCTGGATAGGGCAAAGAAGGGGCCTTGCAGTTGTAGTGTTCTCCAGAGGGGAACTCTTTAGGCCAGTGAAAGGGCCAGCAGGTCAGTCCAGGGGTCCTCGGTAGAAGTTGTTAGTTGAGCTCATTTGGGGTTCCATTTGTAAGACCATCTGTAGCTTGATGGCCTCTATCCTAGAGGAAACAAATTTGACAAGAAGGTTAAAAATACAGGGCCTGAAGGCGAGTAATAGCAAGATAGCTGTCACAGGACCTAGAAAGGGGAGAAGCCATGTCGCCCAACTCCAGAGGCTGGCAAAAGAGTTTGAAAGGCGTTGTCTGATTTCAGAAGACTTTTCTTGTAAATGCTGGGTGGCATCTCATACTATCCATGACTGGTTAGTGTAAAAACACTCTTCCCCTAAGAAGGTGCAGAGTCCTCCTTTCTCAGCAGTGAGGAGGTCTAGGCCTCGGTGGTTTTGAAGAGTCACTGCTGCCAAAGAGTCTATTTGGGATTGTAGAGTAAGGATAGATTTCGTTATTTCTTGCAAACTGTCTGAGAAATCCTTTGAGAGTATGTGGTAGTAGGATAATGAAGTAGATAAACTGGCTATTCTGGTTCCTGTACCAAGAACCATTCCTAACCCTGTAAGTAGGGGTATTAGTTGTATGGCTCTGAGCTGACAGACTTGAACTTTGAGGGGTACTCATAGGGTCTGATTTCCTGGGGCAATGTTAATGTTGGGACTTAGAAAGACTAAGGTGCAGGTGCCTGTCCAGTTAGTGGGGAGGCAGACATAGGTTGACCTTTCACATGAGAAGAATATACCTTGGTGGGTAGACAGAACTGGTTGTGTATGTTAAAGAGGTGTGTGAGTTTGTTCTTTCCATTTTCCCATACTCTTAGAGTACTTGCCAAGGTAGCTCCAGTGAGCGGCTCGAAAGGGCTGTTGGGAGCAAACTGAGTGGCTCCCTGTGTTCTATTTTCCCAGTGGAGAGAAAACCATTCTGTATCTACTAGGAACAATTTGAGAGAGTGATTGAAAGAGGGGATGAGAAGGCATTCACTAGTGGTGGGGGCACTGCTGCAGGGGGCCCAGGGGTGAATGGTCATGCAGGAATTATGTTTGCCCTCACAAAACCTGGACTGTTTGTTATGCAGGGAGGAGGTGATGATTTTTGGAGGACCTGAGAAGCAGACAAGCCGGCTGAATGGAGCTGTTTGGGTGACTTGGAAGTTACTATGATCTGTTGGGGCTTGAAGTTGTAGGTTGTAATTATACTGATGGAGTAGTAGGTGCCCCAGGGGCAGGCCTGACAATAGGTTGCATTGGATGCATAAAGGGGCTTGGAAAGTTAAGATGGTATTCATAGTTACAGGGCCATGTATGGGCTTTTCATTGCTTGTGTAATAGGTGAGGTTGGAAATGTAAGAACGTAAAAGTTGGATTGCACGTCCTGTTAGGATATTCTTGGTCCTATCAGAGATGGGGAAGTTGGCTAATGATTGCATATTTAGAAGTTGGAAAGGGTCTTTTCCTTCATAACAAGGGTGATAGGTTAAGTTGGTAAAGACCCAATTTTTTTGTGGGAATGGGAGTGGCAATGTAAGCAGAGGTTGATAGAGAGATACAAAGCCAACAGTCATTTACCAGGGAAGGATTGGACTATTTTAACAGAGTGTGGGTTAAGTTCAGAGTCTTGTGGAGGTAATTAGGAGCTAGTGGAAGGGGGGTGGGGCAATTGTATGAGGTATCCAAGGAAGCAGGAGGGATAAATAGGCAAAGAGTAAATAGGAAGGTAAAGAGGGTGCTCTGGAAGACAAAATCATTTTATCCAGTCTGAGTTAAAGATAGGAGTAAATTGCTGTCAGAAGGAAAGAAGATAGAAAGAAGGTTGATGTGATTAGGATTTTCATCCCGGCAGGAGCTACAGTATATAGTCCTATCGCAACGAGTATGGTTAGTATGCTGCTTAATAATATGATGAAATAGTAAAAGGATTCCATTAAAGGGGCAAGGAGAGGTGTTAAAGATAAAGATTATGTAGGTTTTCACTTATTTTTTTTAAGGAGGAAGGGGTTTTCTTCAGGATCAGTGGTAGGAGCCTTTTTAGTCTGGGATGTTTCCTTCTGAAATAGGAGATGCAAGTCCTCCAGTGGCTCACAGGTGTATCGAGGCTGGTCTGGCTGATCTTGGGACTCCTGAGCTGACAGTCCCACAGGTTCCTCAGAGGGTGTCCAAAATTGAACTCCGGTGTGGTGAATCCAAGATTCTACTCCTGCCACCTTAACTGCAGTGGGGGTAGAGAGGATTACTGAGTATGGTCCTTCCCACAAAGAGTCCATAGATGGGGAGGTAGAGGGGAGAGATTTGACCAACACTAGATCTCCTGGTTGAAACAACTCTGTTCCCTTTTCTCTGTGCCATCCTTCAGGTAGGTTTTTAAGGTTTTGTTGATATTTTGCCAAAGAAGTTATATCTTTGACCAAGTTGGCCATTTCCTGGTCAAGTAGGAGGTCATTTGTGAGAAAAGGTCATCCATACAGCATTTCATATGAACTGAGCCCCATTTTGTGAGGAGAATTTCAGATTCTCAACAAGGCCATGGGCAAAAGAGTAGTAGGCCGTGGGAGATGAATTTCTTGTGTTAGTTTCCTTAAGTGCCTCTTGAGTGTTTCATTTGCCTTCTTAACCTTCCCTGAGGATTGTGGCCTCCAGGTGCAGTGAAGGTGATATTGTATCCCTAGTGCCCTGGAAATTCCCTGAGTTATCGTGGCTTTAAAAGCTGGACCATTGTCACTCTGTAAGCTTTGGGGAATCCCAAATCTAGGAATTATTTCATGAATTAGGACTTTAATCACTTCCTGAGCCTTCTCTGTCTTGCAGGGGAAAACTTATATCCAATTTGTAAAGGTATCAACACAGACCAACAAGTATTGAAATCCCTTTGACTTAGGCATATGGGTGAAGTCTAACTGCCAGTCCTCTCCGGGATAGTGACCTATTCTTTGTTCCCCCAAAGGGGCCTTATGATGGACCAAGGGATTATTCCTTTGGCACACCTCACAGGATTTGACTACCTATTGGATGGTCTGGGGGAGATTTGGCCCTGCAAATAGGGATTTGGCCATTTGATGAGTGTTTTCAATACCCATATGAAAAATTTGGTGGAGGGTTTTAAGTATTTTCCGCTGGCTGACTTCAGGTATAAGTACTTTTCCTTCTTCTATCATTAACCACCCTGAGGGGAGAAAATTATGCCACCGTGAAAGTCCCCATTCTGTTTCAGTTGGGGAATACTGGGGCTTAATCTCTTGGAGGGGGTTGTTCCATACCAAGGGTCCTGCCGTAGGTATTTCTAATGGGAGGTTCCACCTGGCAGCAATTTTGGTCTCAGCATCTGCCCAACAGTTTCCTTCTGCCTTTTCTCCTTGATCTTTCTGATGGCTTTGGCAGTGGAAGACTGCCACCTCCTTGGGTTTTTGCACTGCATGCAATAACTCCGTAATTTTCTTGTGGCATTTAATGGGTATTCCCCTAGAGGTTGGGAACTCCCTTTCTTTCCATATTGCAGCATAGACATGTAGGATTAGATAAGCATACTTGCTATCTGTATACACATTTATTCTTTTTCCTTTTCTCAGTTCTAAGGCTCGGGTAAGTGCCACAAGTTCTGCTAACAGGGTGCTGGTCCCTGGGGGATGAGGCTTACTTTCAAGTACGATTACATCACTAACTATGGCATAACCTGCCCTTTCTATCCCATTCTCCACAAATGAACTTCCATCAGTATATAGGTTAAGGTCAGGATTAGCTAAGGGGACTTCTAAGAGATCATCTTGGGCAGCATAAGTCTGGACTATAATTTTTTGGCAGTCATGCTCAATTGATTCCCCATCCTCTTGGAGAAAAGTGGCAGGGTTGAGGGCCACACAGATACATATTTGAAGCACCAGTCCTTCAAGGAGTAGCACCTGGTATCTAAGTAGACGGTTGTCTGATAGCCATAAACTTTCTTTGGCACCTAGTATGCCATTTACATTGTGAGTAGTCCAGACAGTGAGATACTTTCCTTGTATTATTTTGATAGCCTCTGACACTAGGATGGCCACTGCCACAACTACCCATAAACAGTGAGGCCAGCCTTTTGCTACTACATCAATTTCCTTACTTAGGGGTGCCACTGGTTGTGGGGTTGTCTCATGAGTCTGAGTAAGGACTCCAAGAGCTATCCCTGCTCTCTCTGTGACGTATAAAGAGAAGTTTTGTCCTGTGAGAAGGCTTAAAGCTGGAGCTTGTATTAGGGCCAGCTTTAAGGTTTTGAAGGCTGTTTCTCCCTTGGTTCCCATTCTACTAGATGAGCATTTGCCCTCTGGGTCTCCTTGATTAGAGTATAGAGTAGTCTGGCCATCTCGCTGTATCTGGGGATCCATAGTCGGCAAAAGTCAGTGATTCCAAGGAACACCTGCAACTGTTTTAATGTCTTAGGGTGAGGATAAGCCAGTATAGGCTGTATTCATTCCTTGCTGAGGGCCCTGGTCCCTCTGGCTAAGATTAGGCCTAGATATTTGACTTCTGTAGGCAAAGCTGGGCCTTCAACCTAGATGCCTTTTACCCTTGATTAGCTAGAAAGTTCAAGAGATCTAGAGGAGCCTGCTGGCATGAGGCTTCCAAACTGGTAGCCAAAATAAATCATCCACATATTGAAGGATCAGAGTGCCTGGACCTGAGAAGTGGCCTAGATCTTGGGCCAGTGCCTGACAAAGCAGATGAGGGCTATTCCTAAACCCTTGGGGCAAGACTGTCCATGTAAGTTGGGACGTGTGGTCTGTGGGATCCTCAAAGGAAAAGAGAAACTGGGAGTCAGAGTGCAGGGGAATATAGAAGAAGGCATACCTGAGGTCCAGAATGGTGAACCATTCTGCTTCCTCTGGTATTTGAGAGAGCAGGGTATAGGGTTTGGATACAACTGGATATAGAGGAATTACTGCCTCATTGATGAGTCTAAGATCTTGCGTTAGTCTCCACTAACTTTGGTTTTTAGTACTCCTAGAATTGGGGTGTTGCAGGGACTGCTGCATTTCCTAAGTCTTGAGCTTTTAAATGTTTAACAATATCCTGTAATCCTTTATGAGCTTCAGGCCTTAAGGGATATTGCCTTTGATAAGGAAAAGTGGTGGGGTCTTTTAGCCTGATTTGGACTGGGTGGGCATTTTTTGCCCTTCCAAATTGTCCTTCCAATGCCCAGACTTCAGGGTTGATTCCCTCCTCAAGTGGGGGACAACAAATGGGTAACTTGTTCCCCATATTCATGTAGATAATAGCTCCAGCTTAGGCTAATATATCACTCCCTAATAAGGGTGTGGGACTTTCAGGCATAACAAGAAAGGCATGTGAAAAGAGCAAAGTCTCCCAATTACAACTGAGGAGTTGGGAGAAATACCTGGTTACAGGCTGTCCCAGGATTCCTTGGATGGTAATGGACCTTGAGGACAGTCGTCTGGGATAGGAGATTAACACTGAGAAGGCTGTGCCAGTGTCCAGGAAGAGTCCACTTCCTGGCCCTCAATGGTTAAACATACCCGGTGCTCAGCGAGGGTGATGACATTGAGCTGGTGCTTGTCCTGGGCACCCTCAGTCCTGTTGTTGGATCATCTGGTTGGGGGATTCTGGCCCAGAAAACCTTTGCCTTCTGGGGCAGTGTGCCTTCTAGTGATTGCCTTGGCACAGTGGACATGGATGAGGGGGAGGCTTGTTTCTCGTTGGACAATCTTTTTTAAAGTGTCCTTGTAAACCATACTGATAACAAGCCCTACTGGGTGACTGGCCTGCTCCATTTTCTGTCCTCTCTGAGCCACCAAGGTTTGTTTGTCTGAGGGCCGTAACTAAGGCTGAGGCCTTTCTCTGATATTGCTTTTCCTTTTTGGCCTGTTCCTTTTTGTCCCTATGATAGAACACCAAGGTTGCCAGGTTTAATAATGTCTCCAGATTTTTTTCAGGGCCCAGGGCTCACTTTTGGAGCTTTCTCCTGATACCTGCAGCTGATTGGGTAATAAACTTATTTTTTAGGATCAATTGACCCTCTAGTGAGTCAGGTGACAAGGGAGTATATTTTCTTAAGGCCTCCCATAGCCACTTGAGGAAGGCAGAAGGATTTTCTTCCTTTTCCTGAGTTATGGTGGACATTATTGAATAATTCATGGGCTTTTTCCTAATTCTCCTTAGTCCTTCTAGAACAGAGGTCAGCAGATGTTTACGACTCCAGTCTCCATGATCTGAGTCTAGATCCCAGTGGGGATCCATACTGGGGATGGCTTGCTGACTGGTAGGGAATTTGTCCCTTTCTTCGGCTGTCATTCTATCATTTATTTGACTAAGATACCAGGTATCTCCAAACTCTTGGGCTGCAGCTAAAGCCACATTCTTTCCATTAAAGGCCAGGGTTTGATCTAACAATAGCATGACATCTCTCCAAGTGAGATCGAAGGTTTGCCCTAGCCCTGTAGGACATCTGTGTACCTAGCAGGATCATCTGAAAACTTCCCCAGGTCTGCCTTGATGTGCTTTAAATCAGAGATGGAGAAGGGGACATGTATCCGGGTTGGGCCAAATTCCCCTCCCCCTACAGCTTGAAGGGGACATAACCAATAGCCCAGGGGTTTTTGTGGTCCTTTGGAGATTTCTTTGCTTTTTTCCTTCTGGGCAGGGGAAATTAGAGGAGGCTTATCATTAATAGGAAGGGGAGCTATAGGGAGGCTAGGATATGGGGGTAAGTTGAGAGGTCCTCTTGTGGGATGTAAATTGCAAGCTTTGCACAGTTGTGGATTCTCCTTCAATGAAAAGAAAGCTTAGACATGAGGTATTTCACTCCATTTGCCTTCCCTCTTACAGAAAAGGTCAAGCTGCAGGATAGTATTGTAATTTATACTTCCCTCAGGTGGCCAGTTTTCCCCATCAGAGAGAGAATATTGGGGCCAAGCCATAGTGCAGAAAAAAATGAGCCGCCTCTTTTTCCGAATTTGTGGGTCAAATTGGTCCCAATGACTTAGGATGCATTTCAAGGGTGAGCGTGTTGATGCCTGAGTGTTTCCCATCTGAAAGAAAAAACCACCTGCAGTTTTGGTTTGTTTGTTTCTCCCCCTGCCCAAGAACCCACAATGGTCCCTGGACCCTGCTGATCAGAATAGTTGTGCTCACTGACGCAGCAGCAGAAACACCTCTTGCCCAAGAACCCACAATGGTCCCTGGACCTGCTGATCAGAATAGTTGTGCTCACTGACACAGCAGCAGAAACACTAGTTTTCCTCCTAGACCACAAAGAGGACTGAGGAATATTGGATTTAGTGGCCCTTACCAATGCATTCTCAAAAACCAGCACCCTTGCCTGTCTTCCTAGACCACAAAGAGGGCTGAGAAAAATCGGATTTAGTGGTCCTTACTGACACATTCTAGAAAACCTGTTAGAGTCCTAAGCATTCTCCTGCTAGTGTTGGGAATTTACCCCTGTCCTATAAAGATGTTATGCCTGAAAAATGAAGTGGAGGGCCATATCATGAGGTAGGAAAGGGATCTCCAGAGTTGGAAGAGTGATGCCTTTTGTCCTCTCTTATATGAATAGGAAGGATACAATTTCTGAGACTCCCCATATCCTAGCTTCAGGAATAGCTTTTGTTAGGCCTGCTAGTCTGAGGAGAGATCCTAAAATTCCAGTTATTCCCCTCTATGATGGGGCTTTGGGCAAAAATTATGTCTTTCTGATTGGTGAGCCCAGGTGCCTAAAGAAGGGAATAGAGTCCTGGAGTTTATACTAGAAACCATTCTTATAGGAGAAACTAGAAAAGCACCAGAGACAGGGAGTGGTTTTTAGAAGCGGGACTAGCCTCAGAGAAGAGAGGCGAGAGGAAGTTTGTCTGATAGGCATTAGGACCCAGGAGGCAAGGGTCAGAATAGATAGGATAGATGGGTGAGTCTCACTTGGGCGACATGACTTTAAGAGTTCTGCTCATGGCCACAGGGTCAACCACCTTTTTGTCAGGACTCTGCAGCTGAATGGCTTTCCTTTCTGTCAACCCTCGGCTCAGCCTGGAAGTACAGGAAAAGTGGAAGCTGGTTCCAGGCAAACCAATGCTCCCAACTCCAAAGAGTTGGGGGTTGTTAGAGAGCCCTTTCTCAGAAAGCCTGACACCTATGTCTTTAGTCCGGCAGCTGCGCTAGTTGCTTTTAGCTGGCTGACAGGTGCCCGGTATTTAGCCCATAAATTCGAAGGAAAAATAGGACAGAATAGCAAGTGAAAGGGGTCCAATGGTTCTCACCGCTTGGTGGTAGGCAAAAGTCCCATCTGGGTTGCCAAAATGTGTCTGGAATTGGTTCCTTCCGGTGGGTTCTTGGTCTCACTGACTTCAAGAATGAAGCTGCAGACCCTCGCGGTGAGTGTTACAGTTCTTAAAGTTGGTGTGTCTGGAGTTTATTCCTTCAGATGTTTAGATGTGTCTGGAGTTTCTTCCTTCCAGTGGGTTCGTGGTCTTACTGACTTCAGGACTGAAGCCGCAGACCTTTGCAGTGAGTGTTACAGCTCTTAAAGGTGGCACGCCTGGAGTTGTTTCTTCCTCCCAGTGGGTTCTTGGTCTCGCTGACTTCAGGAATGAAGCCACAGACCCTCGTGGTGAGTGTTACAGCTCATAAAGGTAGTGCAGACCCAAAAAGTGAGCAGCAGCAAGATTTATTTTGGAGAGTGAAAGAACAAAGCTTCCACAGCATGGAAGGGGATCCAAGTGGGTTGCCACTGCTCGCTGGGATGAACAGCTTTTATTCCCTTATTTGTCCTCACCCATGTCCTGCTGATTGGTCCATTTTATAGAGTGCTGATGGGTGTGTTTACAAACCTTTAGCTAGACACAGAGCGCTGATTGGTGCATTTTTACAGAGTGCTGATCGGTGCATTTACAAACCTTTAGCTAGACACAGAGCACTGATTGGTACTTTTTTACAGAGTGCTGATTGGTGCATTTACAAACCTTTAGCTAGACATGGAGTGCTGATCGGGGTGTTTTTACAGAGTGCTGATTGGTGCATTTACAATCCTTTAGCTAGAGAGAAAAGTTATCCAAGTCCCCACTTGACCTAGGAAGTCCAGCTGGCTTCACCTCTCAGTTATAGATTTGATGTGAGGATTGAATGATAATGTGTGTAAAGCATTTGGAATTGTATCTAGTACTTTGTAAGTGCTTAATAAACGTTAGCTATTATTAGCCATTTGGAGGATAAGCTAGTGTGTATAAAACATACAGCACAGTGTCTGGTACCTAATAAATGCTCAATAAATGTTTATTATTTATAATTTCTTTTTTACTAGTCATCTTAACTGGTTCTAATAACATTAAAAAGAATGCAAAGGTCTCATTTAAAGAATAAATCTTTAAACAATTAAAATTATAGAATACAGTGATTAAAAAAATTCCACAGTAAGATTTTTATTAATATATACATATTTGTCATATTGCCTGTACAATCTTTAAAAGCTGTCATTGTTTCTTTATATTCAACAATAAACATCTGTACTCATTTTTGAACATCCTATTCATGTCAATTTTGTTGTTGTGTGTTTCTTTAACTGAAAGGTCCAGGGTTTTTACATGTTCCTTCAGTAAAATTAAAGCAATTTCCTAGAACTAATATTTTACATTGAGAGAAAGTCTTCAATATTGTGCTATAAAGGAGGATGCTGTTTTTCTTTGCCTTTACTGTTTTCACATTTTTCTTCCATGTTCTTTTTTCCTTCCCCCAAATAGTATTAAAATTGGAAATATCCTCACCGTCTCTTACAGCTATACCTGATGAAATTAAGATATAAGGACTTTCATGATTCATTACAGTGATAGTCTCAGACAAATAATTCTTAGTAAATGACTTCAACTATCAAAAAGAGGTGACTTTTGAACTAATTCAAGAGAGAACAAAAGAAGACAGTTTTAGGTGACTGAAAGTGTTTTCCCTTTTAATTGGCATTTCATATCTCAGTTAATAAAAACTTTGTCTTTGGGAAGAAACTTCTTATAATTCAGGTCTTCATAATTCAAAGTTAGATGAAGTAGATTGTGAAATAGTCTAGTGGCTGTCAAGTGGTCATGGGTGCAGTTGTTAAACAAAAGAAAGAATTGCAAACACTCCTAGACTCCACAGTGAATACATTACCCTTGCAGTGCTCTGGTGAGAACTGTTTCCACAGTGGAGAGGAGATGGTGGTTTGTTTGATTGTTTATTGCTTTTGTGTTTTTTAACAAGGTATATTAGGGTCTCAGCTGGAACACAGATGATCTACTCAAAGGAATATCTGAAGAGTTTAGTTGAGGTGTTGCTCATAGAGATGTGGACAGGCAAAAGGAAATCAACAAGAAAGAGGGAAGCACCCAGGGCTAGTAAAATTGAAAAGGTGTTGCTACTTTTAGACAGACAATGGCAAGGGAAGAGAGCAGTTACCTGAATGGGCGGGGAATATAGCTCTGACATCAAGTTATGGCTGCTAATAAGAACAAGGAGCCACATCCAAACAGCAATAAATTCCTTAACCCATTTATGTTCCTGCCCACTGGTTCCCCTCCAGAACTTCCCAGTGGTAGAACATTGAAAGCTGGAGAGCAAGGGAGCCTAGTAATAGCCCTCGGAGGTCAGCTTCCTGAGGCACAAAACAAGGCATAGAAAAAAGGCTGAAAATAAATCTGGAAGGGCAAACGAAGAATAATTTGTGTGCAAATGTTTTGTTATCATAAGTTAAAACTGCATTCTAAATATGTGACCTTTAAAAACTTACTTTAAGTTTTGTGAAATACTGAGACTAATCTTGTAGAATAAGCTTGCTAGTAAGAGACTTAAAAATAAAGGCTCAGAATTTGAAATCATTCGTTTTTCCCCCATAACAATAGTTACAAATACACAATAGAAGTGTAAAATAATATTAAGGGAGACATTGGAGCCCTGATGTTTTGATTAGAATAGCAGTTATCATTTCTCAAATACCCAAATGTAACATGGAATTCATTCTTTTATACTCAATAATAATCTTGATCCACAAAAATAATTGTTGGTATCATGTGTTCAAATGTTGTTTTTCTTCATTGGCCATTAAATACAAATGAAATATTTGTCATGACTCAGGGCTTTACTGATTATTCGATTGAATATTCAGCTTCACTGGATCATGCACAATGCATATAGGAGTTATTGATATGAAATATCATTATAGTTATCATCTTCATATAAATGTTGAGATTAATGGAAGATAAAAATGATGTTTTTTGAAGGGTGAGACTAATACGCTGTTGAGTGACAGATTGAGCATCAATATTGCATTAATTATTTCTGTTTTCTTAGTCACCACATCAAATTAATCACTTTGGCCTTGGTGACTTGGTATTGAACTTCTGGGAGCACTTAAAAGCTAAACCAACCATATGGTGAGTGGTTAAGAATATGACTCTGGAGTCCAATTGCCAGTGTTCAAATTGCAGCTCAACGACTAGCTAGCAGTGCAGGCTTGGGAAAATACCTTAACATTTTAAAGTTTCTGTTTCTTATAAAATATATCTGATAATATTACCCTCATTATAAAGTAATTGTAAGGATTAAACAAAAATATAAAATATTTAGTATAATATTTGTGCATGAAGTAATTACCACTTAGGTTGGGGTGCTATAGCAAAGTACCACAGACTGGGTATCTTATAAATGACAGATATTTATTTCTAATAGTTCTGGAGGCTGGAAGTTTGAGATCAGGATGCTGGCATGGTTTGGTCCTGGTGAGGACCTTCTCAAGGTTGCAGACGGCTGACTTCTCTTTATGTCCTCACATGGCAGAAAGAGATCCAGGTAGATCTACGGCTTCTACATGAGCACTATTCCCATTCATGATGGTCACACCTTGGTGATGTAATTACCTCTCAAATGTCCCACTTCCAAATACCATCACATTGAGATTGGACCCATGGATTTGGAAGGGACACAAACATTCAGTTCGTTACAAATTATAATTCTGAGAATGAACTGAAATTATCATTTAGATAGAAACTGTGAAAAATGTAACTAGTCAGGATTAATATTCAGTCTACACTATCTAGAAGAATGCCCTTACTGATGTGAAGTTATATACACCTTAGAAAATTCTCTATTCTTTAGCAGCATGGAGTATAGTAGAAAACAAGGAGAAAAAAATTATAGAAACAAAAACATTTCCATTGGCAAAGAGAAAAGAGCATCGCCAAAAAATTAAAGAATTGTAGCTACTTTCTTATTCTTCTGAAGTTGAGTCAATGGACCACTCAGTGAAACTACATAAGTGATTTTTTGTTACAATATTATAAAACATTAAAGATTTAAGATAAGACAAGTCAGAACTTTTCTTAAAGCAGACTGAGAATATGGTCATTTCCCTTTGCTCAAGGATATGAAGAGAAATGACAATATTTCTGCCATTAGACACAAAAAACTTGGTTCCCAGTACTAGTTCTACAATTACCTGTGACTTTGAATGAACTACTTCTCTGAATTTCAGTTTTCTTTTGTAAAAAGAGTGAGCTGGAGAAAAGCGACAATTTTCAAAATATTTTTCAGAAAAATTAGGTTTGTTAGTCCATTAAGTTTGGGAGACAGTACATTTTACATTTCCCTCTCAGAAATTCCTACAGTATCTGCATTTATAGTACATCTTACATCTCCCTGTCAGAAATTCCTACAGTACCTGCATTCATTAAAAATTCTGAGCTGGGCTGGGTGGGGTGGCTCACGCCTGTAATCTCAGCACTTTGGGAGGCCGATGTGGGCAGATCACGAGGCCAGGAGATTGAGACCATCCTGACCAGCATGGTGAAACTCCATCTCTACTAAAAAAAACCAAAAACACAAAAATTAGTTGGGTGTTGTGGCACGTGCCTGTAATACCAGCTACTTGGGAGGCTGAGGCAGGAGAATGGCTTGAACCTGGGAGGCAGCAGTTGTGGTGAGCCGAGATTGCACCACTGCATGCCAGCCCAGAGACAGAGTGAGACTCCGTCTCAAAAGAAAAAAAAAAATTCTTAGCTTTTCTGAAGAAAAAAAAAAACAACAGCAAACAAATAAGAAAGAAAAGGCAGTTCAATTTTTGTTTAATCTCATTATTTTAAACTTGCTCAATCATAAAATCTTTTTGTTAACATAACATCTATTAATATCCTGAAAAACTACTACAGTAGTCAGTGAAATAATACTGTATTAGAGGATTTGTATCTTCCATGTTTTGAAATCTAATTATTGAACTCTGTTTTTATGATATGGAAGCTATATAATAACTCTGTGAGAAAACCTGATTGATTAAATATTCTCAACTCATTTCTGCAAGTAAGGGTTAAAGGACAGGAGAACCCTGGGAAGTTCATTTCTCATGTCTGAGACCCAAAAGGAAGTAGAAAGCTAATTAAGTCTGATTCCCTAGAGTAGGGTAAAATTGACTTTTTTGCTGTTCTGTAGTACACTATGTGAAATTCTTAGAAGACCAGAGATGATTGAATGTATATGCATTTTAATAAATTATCTACAATAACCATGGAGCTCACTGAATATCTAAATCTACTTATTTACCATAGTGTTTTTGAAAATCTACTCATTAAATCTCAGTAAAATATAGTTATTATTTTCCTTGTACAAATGCAGAAATAAAAGTACAAGAGTAGAAGACATAAGAGAATTGTTGCTACTTATTATGAACTTGGAAGCAAACTTATTCTTTAGTCATTCTAGAATGACACTTGCCTTCAGAAACCGTAGTATAAGTTATCTTGGTTTGGGCCTGTAATTGGGCCCAAAGACTCACAATATATGGAAGTACATTTGAAATATTGGAATCTTTACTACCAAGCTCTTTTCTACCATTCAAATTTCTTCTTCTGATAAACAATAGAATAGTATATGTTTGAAATAATTCAGCTGTACAAATTTGTATTCCTTAGGTTTCCATAGATTAATTTAGAATATTAATTTAATTAGACTATACTTCAAACAACCCAGTTAAATGCCTTTGCTTACAGAGATTTCAATAGGTATAGTGCTTGCATTAGGTATGTGTGTGAGAATATTTGTTTATGTGCATGGATGTGTGTTTATGTGTGTGTGTATTTTGAGGATTACTCTAGAACTTGATAATCTCTTTTAAAGGTCATATGAAAGACAATTTCAAGGTTCCACTCTGTAAATATATAAAGTAGCCCAAATTTTTCTTTGAGATTACTCATTTCCTTCTTCTTGGCTCTTTCCCCCTTCTTGTATTCTCAGCCACCAGAAGCATAGCCTGCTATTATTTCAGTCCTATCATAATTTTTGTTTCAATTCATTTTCTGTCTTACCACTTAGAGTAGATAAGGTGTTTTCTACTACTTGCTTAAAATTAAAAAATAAGTAAACAGCAATGGTTGCTTCTGTCATGATAATTATAAAATAATATGTTTTATTGAGTACTTTTTGATTTACAAAAACGATACTTACATATATTATATTGAATTCTTTCGATGTCTGTTAATTAGGCAATTACTTTTTTATCTACAATCTCAGAGAAGTTTAACAGCTTGTCTAAAATTTAACAGCTGGTAAATTACTAAGCCAGGATTCAAATCTGGGGCTGCCCCAATGTTCTCATTCTACCACAACAAACCAACTTACCCAACAATGTCTATGCACATTGTCATTCTGCCACCACACGTGTTGTGGAACATAGTTTAGCATATGGTATATTATACAGAATATTTCATGTGCACTTGCAAAAAATACAAAGTCTGATCTTTTTTAGTAGTGTTCTATAAATGCCGGTTACATCAATTTGGTTGACAGTGTTGTTCAGCTGTTTTATATCCTTACTGTTCTTATGTTTAATTTTTTTTTTTTTTCAATTGCTAAGAGAGGGGTATTGAAATATTCAACTCTAATGTTGAATCATCTATTTTTCTCTTCTGTAAGTTTCTGCTTTATGTATTTTGGAACTCAGTTGTCAAGTGCATATGCCTTTATAATTTTTATATCTCCTGATGTATTCAGCATTTTATTATGAAATGATTCTTTTTGTTTCTAGGAATGTTGCTTAAAGTTTAGTGGAGTATTAATATAATGTCTCCAGCTCTTTTATAATTATAGTTTTCATGGTTTGCCTTTTCTATCCATTTACTTTCTACCTATTTGTGTGTAGTCTTGTAGACAACATATAGTTGAATCTTGCTGTTTTTTAAAATTTGTTTTTTGGATTTTATTTTATTTTTAATTTCAACTTTTATATTAGATGCAAGGGATACATGTGCAAGTTTGTTACATGGGTATATTGTACCTGATAGTGAGCATAGTACCCAATAGGTAGTTTTTCATCCTATGACCCCCTCCCTTTCACCCTCCTCTTATAGTTGATAGTGTCTGTTTTTCCCTGTTTATGTCCATGTGGTGTGTTCAATGTTTAGCTTCCACTTATAAGTAAGAACATGTGGTATCTGTTTTTCTGTTCCTAGGTTAATTTGGTTAAGATTATGGCCTCCCGCTCCATTCTTATCCTATTTGACAATCTCTGCTGTTTGATTATTTTGTCCAGTAATATTTAACATAATTGTTGCAATATTTAGATTTCTATCTTCAATTTTATTATTTTTTGTATGTCCCATGTCATTTTTTCCCATTTATTTAACACCTTCTTTTTTTGTTTAACAAATATTTTTCTGTGTACAGTTTTCATTTCTTTGTTAATGTTTAACTATATTTCTTGAGTTGTTTAGTAGTTCTAGTGATTATAACATACACTTTTTATAGCATCTTCTTCAGGTTAATATTAATTTATTACAACTTTGCTCCAATATAGGCTTCATTTTCTCCCTTGCCCTTTGTTCTAATATTCTCATATTTATTACAATTATCTATGTTGTAAGCCTACTCTAGCAGTGTTATAATCATGAGTTTATATAAACTTATGTTTTTCAAAGAAACTAGAGGAGAAAAAATATATGTAGTTTTTAATATTTATTCACAAACATTTCACTTTTAAAGCTCTAATTTCTTCCTGTGGATTCAAGTTACTGTTTGGTGTCATTTTCTTTCAGCCTGAAAGACTTTAGTATTTCTTGTAAGGCAGGTCTACTAGAAATGAATTATCTCAGTTTTTATTTATGTATAACTGTCTTTGTTTCACCTTCATTTTTGAAGATTGTTTTGCTGTGTTGACAGAGTTTTATTTTCTCCAACATTTTTAATATGTCATTCCTCTGCCTTTTAGCCTCCATTGTTTCTGACAAGAAGTCAGCCATTAATCATACTGTTGTTCCCTGGTATGTCATAAGTCATTTTTCTCTTGCTGCTTTCAAGATTTTCTCTGTCTTTCACTTTCAGCAGCTTGACTGTGATGTGTCTAGGTATGTATCTCTTTGTGTTTATCCTGTTAGGGTTTTTGAATTTTTTCATCTATAGAATAAATTTTTTAAGATCAAATCTGGGAATTTTCCAGCCATTATTTCTTTGAATAATTTTTCATATTTCTTTTTCTCTCTTCATTCTATGGCTTCTATTACACATATATTGGTACATTTAAATTTGTCCCACAGTTCTCTGAACATCTGTTCAATTTTCTTCTTTTTCTCCTTATCCGGCCTCAACTTCTTAAAGAACACTGGCAAAGCCCAATGAATCTCCGGACAGAAGATAAATATAGGAAGCAGAACACCTATACCCTCAAAACCTAAGGCCTAAGGCTTATCTGTAAGTGGAATGAAAGGAATAGTGTGGCTCTAAGTCTTTGGTACAATATTTGCCTACTCCACTCTGCAAAACCAAAGCCCGGCAGTTAATATGATTGACCCATCCTCTTGAGATAGTAATTAGTGACCATTTATTATTTTTCAAGCAAGTCCTTTGAGTGCATTTGCTGGCTTCAGAAGGAAACAGGCAACAGCAATCCCACTTCCTATACCAAGTAGCTGATCAAAATGTTTCTTCCAAAATCAGAAAATACTTGCTCTGCGGGGGAACTCTAGTAATTATATGCAGCGTTTTCCTTGGACATGTTACTTATCCTTTCTTGTGTTTCGCTCTCCTGTAATCTATGAAGGGAGATAATAGTAGGTATTCTATGGAGTTACTGTAAGGACTAAATAAGTTAATATATGTAAACATGTTAAAAAAGTGGCACATGGTGAGAACTCTCCATGTATCAGTGTTTATGATGATTGTATTTAAAATTTCTATGATATTTTATGAATAGAACTCCAGAGATGTACTAGTATACCAAGTGAAATGGCACTCCAGGTCATTTCTCAATATGACCGTGGGCCAACCTCAGTTCTCAGGACTTGTATTGCCCATGTTGGGAGGATGCTTCCAATGATAAGTCCTTTAAAGAATCACCATGACAATATTGTTCGGATATAGAATTCACAGTTGCCCTTAAATGGTGTATATACATAGCAATAGAATGAGTCAGTGATTAGGATGACATTTCATTTTGGTTATTTTATTTTATTTGATACAGAGTCTCACTCTGTCGCCCAGGCTGGTGTGCGGTTGTGCGACCTTGGCTCACTGCAAGTTCTGCCTCCTGGGTTCATGCCATTCTCCTGCCTCAGCCTCCTGAGTAGCTGGGACTACAGGTGCCTGCCACCACGCCCGGCTAATTTTTTGTATTTTTAGTAGAGACGAGGTTTCACCGTGTTAGCCAGGATAGTCTCAATCCCCTGACCTCGTGATCCTCCTGCCTCAGCCTTCCAAAGTGCTGGGATTACAGGCATGTTTGGTTATTTTTGAGAAGAGTCAACTCAATCATGTGAAAGTTTATTTTGTTGTTGTAAACATTGCCAATATGATGCTATCATCTGTCAGATCCTGATTTGTAAATGCACCTGTATGATGCAACATCAATACTAACAGAGTTGAGTTTTTATCAGCTGTTTACCCTTTGGCAGCTTCTTCTCTCACTTCCAACAGTTGAATTTAAGCAGGAATGAATTAAGTACAGCCATTTCTAATGTGCTGAATCAACCTTATCGCTGCCATTAAAACAAATTAACTGACAAAAAATGTTTGGCAAAGTGGCCAGAACCATAATGCCATGTAGTTTTTTTTTTACTAAATACTAGAAAATATAAATCACCTTGGTGAAAACTATATCTTCTTTAAAAGCCCTGAATCTGTGAACCATTTGTAAAAGTTGCATCTAGAAAAGAATCAGTATAAATTCTCTTAACTAGGAAGCCCTAAATACCATTAACTAGAGCAGTTGAAATGGATTTTACTACAATTCAGGTCCCCACAGAAGGCTTAATCAAACTTTATGCATAGTAAACACTCCTTAAAGTGTAATCTATGTGTGCAAAGGGCATGGGAAAGATACTGTCCCCAGAGAGGCTGGCTCTTCACATAATAATTCAGAACAAAGGTTTAAAGAAAGCTTAGCAGTTCTAACATAAGTGTTTTAGATACTTCTGTTATGCCTAATGTAAATTCTGGCCTTATTTTGGTACATTCAAGCATTAGATCATGACAAGTTTTATGTAGCATTTGCAATACTTCAAATCTTGTTAGAGAATGACAGTTAAATATATTTCAGAGCTGTCTTAGGTTTCTATAAAATCATAGAAGTTACAGCTTTCCAACTCATGCTACAATACTTTCAACATTCAAAAATATTTGAGTGTTATTATAAACAGCTTTATTATTGTATTGTTTACATATATTAACATATTTCATGATCATTCTAGTAATTCCCCCAACATTAAGTGGTTTGCTAGAGCAAGGGATGAATAGGTGCATGCAAGAAGCACCTCAGCAAACCTTTGTTGACTGATTGGCTAATTGAAGTATACCCTGTTTGGAGTAAGTGTTTAATACCATCATGCTGATTATTGTTCCACAGAGACCTAGATAACTTAAAAATGTTCTTGTCTTAATGTTAGGTCTTGTGCAGAAAGGAATGAGGGGACTCAGGGTATTGAATATTGAGAACAGGTGAACATTTATAGTTTGCCAAGATGTTTTTGTAACCCACAGCAGACAGACAGACTTACCCTAATTATTTGAACAGTAGTTATCAGTAATTTCTGTGACCTCTGCCTGATTTTCTCTTCTGTACTAAAAAATGCCTAAGAAGGATCTTGGAGGTACTATTTCCTATGATTTCAAGTGACCCAAAATTTGACTGTGAAGTTCATGGCCTGTGAATGGGGCCTCTATCTTTGTTTAGAAGTTGCTGCCTCAGGTTTCTTTTGTTGTGTTTAGTATTGCTGAAATGGTGATGTTGAATTGACATCACATAATGCCATCTAAAGACTAATTTTGCTTATTATTTTAAAAAGGATTTACTGAGTGCTATAATAAATACAAGGTATAAAGTGGTGAACAAGAGACCATCCCTGACCTCAAAGAGCTTTCTGGTGGCTCTGGCTCACTTGCTTTGAAGAGGGCTGCATCTTGGACATGCTTTGTGCTGCCTCCATTTCCACTTCCTTACCTATACCATTGACCTTCTCTGAACAAAACCCTGTACTATCATGGTATTTTGCTTTTAATTTCTATCATGCTTACTATTTACAACCCACATTTATTGAGCTCTACTCTATGCAAGGCACTGTCTCAAGTGCCTTGGAGGGATTATCTCGTTCATTTCTCACAACAACAGGTACTACAATTATCTCTATTCAATAGATAACGAAACTGGAATTCAAAGAGGCTAAGTTTTATAGTTCCAGTTTATCCAGGTCTCACCTAGTGGAGCTGAAATTTAAACAAATGGTAGTTTTACTGTAGAACAAGCTTGTCAAACCCACAGCCCATGGGTCGCAGGATGGCTTTGAATGCGGCCCAACAAAAATTTGTAAATTTTCTCAAAACGTTATGAGATTCTTTTTTTGTCTTTTTTTTTTCACATCAGTTACCGTTAGTGTGAGTGTATTTTATGTGTGGCCCAAGACAATTCTTCTGCTGTGGCCCAAGGAAGCAAAAAAATTGGACACCCCTGACTAGAAATTAGTACTTACTCACTATGATACATTGTCTCATATTCGTGTTATTCTTCTTGTCTATTCTAGTAATCCTTACCTGGGAAAATTGTGTAGATACAGAATGGGGTAGAGAAAATGTGGTCATTCTTGCTTTCAAACTTTAAGAGAACTTTTTCAAAATATACTCCGTAGATTTTCCTCCCCTGATAATGCCGTTAGGTGTTTGGAGGGACTTATAATTTGATTTGAAGAAACTCCCCAGGGGATTTTGCTTCATCCTCTCTGGCTGGGAACCTTCAGGGAATTTGCTATAGGTTTTCAGTTGGGACTCCTTGTTGGTTTCTGATTTTCATCTCTTTTCATTGTTCAGGACATCTGGCTCTGTTTTCCAGCCCCACATTAGATGAGAATGCTCTGGCTTCTGATGTGATCTCTGTCTCCCTTCAGCTGCCCTCCCAAAAGCTGCAGGCCTTGAGATTGGGCTCCCTCATGGTCTCCTCTGTCCACAGTATAAAAAGAGTCTCTTTCTTTAGTTTCAATATCTTTTCCCTTGAGACTTTACATTTTAATAGGAGCATGATAGATTTCAGACACATTGGTTGCAGAAAAAGAGGTCCTAGAAAATGAATGACTAGAAGTCAGTTCCTTGGATTAGAGAGTTTCAGGGATGCAATTTGGTGTTTTCAGGTGACCTCTAAGCCATGTGAATATTTGATGGGAAAGTAGGAAAAAAGAGTTATCTGCTGACTTTGGAAATTCTATAATTTTCTGGCATTATTTAATTAAAACCAGTAGGCATCTATTCAGCTCTTACTCCATATAGGGTACTTTGAAAGGTATCATGAATGATATCCAAGTGAGTGAGACATACAAACACTTGCTCTTAAGAAGACTAGAAGGAAGGACACATGCAACTAATTTAAAAAATGAGATAGGAACGATAGCAGAGTTTTAAAGCAGTGCCTCTGGAATCCTTGGAAGTTATTAACTTTTTAATTTGTGGGTATCCTTGGATTCAAAGGAAAAGAACCACATTATGGCTCAGCCTCATGGAATAAATAACTGTTAAACCACTAGGGACTAAAAGTAGAGAAGGAAAGGGGAGAGCAGCAAGAGGAGATGGTGGAAAGGAAGGAAAGGGTCAGGATGTTATTCTGCATTGAGGATATTATCCATCTTTGACCTCAAGTCATACAACGTGTATCATTTATGGAGTTGACGAGTCTGATAGGAATTCGCTTATTTTGGTTTCTATTGACCCAGACTTAAGGACACTGGTAGGTTCTTTTTTCTTCAGGTCATTCAGGGTATTAACTCTGAATGTGTTTTCCCAAGGGTGAAACACAACCTCTTTTGAGCAATGTCTTTTCAGCAAGTCTATGAGGCTCATGTTAATCTCAAGGCAAAATGGCAATCAAGAGAATTAGGTAGAACTATTATTTCCGTCAGTCAGCCCTTACATATTATAGACCCATGACATCCAAAACTGAAAAAATAGATCCCGCCATTAAAAATGATTGTTCTTACTATTAATTATCATGATTAACTTGTCATCTGAAAGCTAAGTTTTAATAGCCAAATCTAAGGTTCAGCACCAGAAAGCTGTTTATTATGTCTATTAACTTTCTTTTGCATTTACTGTCCCAACTATAAACACCACCACCATGTCATTATTGTCCTTTACCCCACCACTCCTCCTTCTTCAGTTGATCTCCTAACTTATATTTCACTATGTCAACCTAAAGAAATTAGGCTAAATTGGTTAATCTTTTGTAAGAAGTAAAAAATCTTCCTACAATTTTCTAAGGCTTGAGTTATTCCAATTTTGCTATTTTGCTTTGTTATTCCAATATATGTATTTCTCCTTCTCAAATATGCCCATTAGCTACATATTTTTTTTCAAGGAAACCATTCATTATGCTTCTTGAGTAAAGAATGGAATTTAGGTTTCCCCTCAAATGTCAGGAATCCAGATTTTTATTTATTTATTTCTTTATTTCTTTCTTTATTTATTTATTTGAGACAGAGTTTCACCCTTGTCACCTAGGCTGGAGTGCAATGGCATGATCTCAGCTCACTGCAACCTCCACCTTCCAGATTCAAGTGATTCTCCTGTCTCAGCCTCCCGAGTAGCTGGGATTACAGGCATGAGCCAACATGCCCAGCTAATTTTGTATTTTTAGTAGAGACAGGGTTTCACCATGTTGGCCAGGCTGGTCTTCAACTCCTGACCTCAGGTGATCCACCCACCTCGGCCTCCCAAAGTGTTGGGATTACAGGCATGAGCCACTGCGCCCAGCCCAGTATTCCATTTGGATCAGTGACTTTGAAATGATTGCAAATACGTAAACTACAATTTATTGCCACTTTAAAAAATATAACCTGATAAAAGGGGCACAAAGTCATTTATCACAAACAATGTAATGAATTACATCTATCTGCCTATCAGTCCATTCAACAGACTTTTAGTGAAATACCCTCAGCTAATTTCTTGGGATATAAAGCTGAACACCAATGTCAGGTTCAAGACCAAGCTGAGGTTGGCTGGGAATAGGTGGATGGGTGGCAGATAGTTGAAAGAACACTCGGGGCTGTAGGCAGGTGAAACATGGCATTATTATGAGCCTCTCTCTGTTAGCTTTTGTATTGGCTGCCTGCTGTGGCCACAGCCCCTCTCAGCAGCTGGCTCTGTGGCTCCTGCCACCCCACACCTGCAGCTGCATGCCCTGGCACGCTTGCTGCTTTCTGGCTCCCCCCATCCCCCTGCAAGTTGGCTGGCTTTCTCTCTGTCTGCCTGCAAGATGGCTGGCTCCCCTTTACAGAGTCACCAATGAAGTTATATTACTCACAGACAATAGTGGCTCAGAGCTAGGTATGAGCTTACACAAACAGGTTACATAATGCACAGAATTGTGTGCCTGCAGTCCAGACTTGCTGTGTTATGCTACACTGGATGTTTACCTTGGCCTATTCTTTACTGAAGCACATCCATTTTCCTTACACTCCATGCCCTAGGCTCAGGGAGACATAGGCCTTGGACATACAGGTCTGACATATAGTCCTGATACATAGGTTTTGGGCACACAGGTCCAACACACAGGCTTGACACATAGGTTCTGGGCTCTCGGGCCCAATACCCAGGCTGACACATAGGCTCTGGGCACACAGGTCTGATACACAGGCTTGATATCGTGGTGCATGTGGTGGGGGTACTATGTGCTCTCTTACTAACTAGACCCATCCATCATGGATGCTATGGGTCAGCTAGGGGGCAGGCGACAACAGGTTACTGTTAGTCCCCTTGCCTGGTTGGAGGAGGTCATCCTTCTTCTCATAGGTCTTACCACATAGCTTGGCTCCACATGGGCCAGTGACCAACTAGACAATTCTGCAGCTTCTAGGTAGTTAACTACGAAGTTAAGCCTTGATAAACTGCCCAGCTATCAGTGCAGATTACTATAGGTGTCACTTCCTTGGTGATCACCATTTATACTGCTCTGGGTTCAACCCATTGACTACTTTGTCCACACCCAGTATCAAACCATATGGTGTCAGTACTAGGCTGGACGATGACAGCAGTCCAGGCAGCAGTAGCACCCCAGCTAGACCCATCCATATACCATGACTCATCAGGAATTGGGAGTTGCCCCTTTTTAAATGGTGATGGCTCAGGTCTAGGGGTGCTTCAGGCCCCATGGCCTTATCTTGCATTAGGACTACAGGTCCCAAGACTTCTTGTAATTCTGCTGCTAAGGGGCTTGTAAACAGCATAATTTGCTGTTCTAAGTAGGCACTCCACTTTGATGAAGTGGATGTCTGTGCTGTCCCAGTCTAGGGGGTCATTACTCGTGAACATACCCATCCTGCTATTGGGTAAGTTGTCTGCATGATGACTGTAGCCCATCCCGTTACCCTCTTATGAGCCTGAAGGGTGGAATATGCAGCTGCTAACTGCTTCTCTATCAGTGAATACCAGAGCTCAGCTCCCTTTCAAAGTTGGGCCCAAAAGCCTACTGGCATTCTAAAGTGCTCCATGTACTGCCATAGACCATCTGTGGTTACATGCATGTTAAGTTCAAATGGGTGCCCCAGCTTAATCACTTATAGGGTCTGTGCTTGCTGAATAGCCCACTTAGCTGCCAGAAAAGCTGTCTCAGCCTCATTATCCCAATCTCAGGTAGCCTGCTTTTTTTTTTTTTTTTTTTTTTTGTCAACCAGTACAATGGTTTTATCATCTGAGCCAAATGGGGCACAAATGCCCGCCAATATCCTGGGAGGCTGACAGAGGTCTACAGCTGCCTCACTATGGTGGACTGGGGATACGACTCTTAGGAATTTGGCAGACAATTCAGGACCTTGGACCCTGGATTCATTGATGGCCCAACCACATGCTATCAAATGTTATTGCAAGAGGGGTGCCACTGCTTCTAATCTACAAGAGAATCAGAGGTTAACATAATATCATCAACATGATGAAATAGGCAGACTCCCTTTGGACATCTCCAGGTGGCTAAATCCATGACAACGAGGCCATTACATATGGTGGGGCTATGCACATAGCCCTGCAGCAACACTGTGAAAGTTCACTGTCACCCTTCCCATGAAGGCAAACTGTTCCTGGCTCTCTGGAAGAGAACATGTTAGCTAAGTTCACCACATAGTGGTACTGTCCCAATTTTGTTGTCAAGTGGTCCATCAAATTCATGATAGACAGGACAGCTGCCAAGCTGTGTGAAACATCCTCTCCCCAGAATGTATTCAGGTATGGGAGAGATACACAGTGCATAAGCAGGGACCCAAGTGGCCAATGCCAAGGTGCAAAGATTGGCATAGTCGGCAGGATCCCGAGGTGAGTGAGCCTTCGGACCCCAATGATTCCAGGTCGGCCATGTGGCCGCAACATGGGTTGTGGTAACATGTGGCAGCTGTGCTGCTCAGATGGGCTCTGGTGGAGACATGAGCAGGAGTGGATGGGTCCACCATGAGCATGGAGAAGGTGCTGAAGCACCTGGAAGTGCACAGCACCAAGAAGGAGCGTGCCTTTGCCAGCAGAGTCAGATGGGGAGAGAGGCACATAGCAAAGCCATGTTTCACCTGCCTAGGGCCCCTCAGTGGTTCTCCGGGCCATCCGAGCCAAGAAGTGGTGAGCATATTGGAAAGTACAGCAGCAGGTGTTGGGGTGGCAGCAACCACGGAGGTGGCTGCTGAGAGGGGCTGCAGCCAGAGCAGGCGGCTGAGACAAAGGCTGACGGAGAGAGAGAGGTGCATAATAATGTACGCCCTGCCTACACCAGCCCCAACAAGTGTTTCAACTACTTGCCTCCTGTCCACTGACTCCCCTCAGACCTCAGCTTGGGCTGGAACCTGACAATGAATTATAGCTGTCTACTTTATGTATTGCTCATGACTCATACAATATCATATTCACAAGGAAATACACCAGTAAACCTGCTTTCCTTAGAACATTTGTAATGAGCCAATAGAGAACAATGAGTTTAGGCTGGTTGATATTGATTCCAACTACAAAAGCAACTCACAGACAAGAGAAATCAATGTGGCCTTTGGTAATCAGGGAAGGATCAGCAGAGGAGATAGGACTATATAGGAAATTCGAAGGATGATTAGTAATTAGATAAATCAAAGCAAATGGGAATGTCCTTCTAATTAGAAGAAGGATGAGAAACAACTCCCTTTCCCTCAATGCTCAGGCTGGAAAGTTCCTATGTACTAGGTTGGTGCAAAAGTAATCATGGTTTTTGCATTACCTTCAATGACAAAAACCGCAATTACTTTTGCATCAGCCTAATATCTTCAGTATCACTATGACTGGGCCGACAGACCAGTTTGAAGCTGTTTTTTTTCTGGTTGAATCCTTGCTTATAGCAACATTGGCAAATTATTCATTTCATCTTTTATATACATACAGAATATGTATATACATACAGAAATATGTCAGTCAGATGGACAAAAGATAAAAAATCTGTCCAGGAGGCTCAGTGGCTCACGCCTGTAATTCCAGCACTTTGGGAGGCCAAGGTGGGTGGATCACTTCAGGCCAGGAGTTCAAGACCAGCTTGGCCAACATGGTGAAACCCCATCTCTACTAAAAACATAAAAGTCAGCCAGGTTTGGTGGTGTGCAACTGTAATTCCAGCTACTTGGAAGGTTGAGGCAGGAGAATTGCTTGAACCTGGAAGGTGGAGGCTAAAGTGAGCCGTGATTGCACCACTACACTCTAGCCTGGGCAACAGAGCAAGACTCCTCCTCAAAAAAAAAAAAAGATACAAATACTTAGAGAAATCATCCCATCTAAAGGGTATTCTCCAGTGTGATTCATTTATCATTTTCATGTGAAGCAAGGGATGCTCCCTTAAGGCAGGGGCCATTTTTATTTGTTTTGAGTTTTTTTCTTTTTCTTTTGTGTAGCATACAAATAGTTTATAGTAAGTGTTCAATAAATATTTAAGATATTGGGTAAAGGAGAGGGGAGAGATTATAATTCCCCATTGCCTCTTTGCAGGTAATTCTATGTAGGCCTCAGGAAAGTGGGGCTGAGAAACCTGCAAAGACTGATTAACCTGTTAACCTACAAAACTGATTAACTAAAGAACATAGTGCTGATAGATTATTTTGTTATATAAAATCATAGACTGTCAGAAACTTTGCTATTTAAAAACCATGTCAGTAAGAAAGGAATAGCCGACTTTGCATAGGGGATTTGAGTCACATCGAAACAACCTGAATTGTTAACCCATGTTCAGAGATTTAGATAAAGGGTTATGAACAGAATTTTCCAAATGTATTTTGTCTTTGTAATTTTCAGAAACATCATTCCACTTTGCAGTCCAGACATTATATAAACCTATTTATAACAAGTCCTTTCTTTGAGCCTATCAAAACTTTGTGTCATTTAAATTTTACTTAAACTCCACCCTTCCCCCAAATTTTAAAGTAGCTGTTTCTTCTTTTGTTTGATGAGAGACATTACACAGTTGCCTTGAAGTGCCCTCCCTTGTTGCAGCAAGAAAATTAACCTAATTTTGAGAAACAGCTTTGTTTCTATGGTCTTTATCAGATGGATTTTTTCTAATCTTAATATTTTAGATCAAGATTTTAGGGGAAAAGTAGTCTATTTTTTTTCACCAGCTCAGTAGTATTTGTTTGAAAGAACCTTTCTTCAATAATCTTTGTTTCAACTTATTGTTAGTTTTTGCTCAATAATTTTTGTTTCAAATAATATTTGTTTCAAAAATACTTGTATGTTTTGTATTCATTGCAACACTATTTACAATAGCAAAGACATGAAATCAACCTAGATGCCCATCAACAGTGGACTGGATAAAGAAAATGTGGTACATACACATCATAGAATACTATGCAGCCATAAAAAGGAATAAAATAATGTCCTTTGCAGCAAAATGGATGCAACTGGAGGCCATTATCCTAAGCAAACTAATACAGGAACAGAAAATAATAATGCATGTTTTCACTTATTAGTGGGAGCTAAACATTGAATACACATAGCCACAAGGATGGGAACAATAGGCCCTGGGGACTACTAGAGTGGGGAAGGTGGAAGGTGGGTGAGAGTAGGAGGGGCAAGTGTTGAAAAACTATTATGTATTATGTTTATTACCTGGGCGTAGGGATTATTTGCACATCAAACCTCAGCAACATGCAATTTACCCATGTAACAAACCTGCACGTGTACCCCTGAACCTAAAATAAAAGTAAAAAACAAACAAAAAACACCAAACCCCAAAATATATGCACTGTCTCTACGGAGAAGGTTATTTAATGCGAATTAGAGAAACTTCAGGTAAATTGCTCCTTACAGAAGCATGCTTATAGGAGTATAATATCTTGGTCATTTCATTGGTTAGGGATAGAAAAAAATCAGAAAATTTCCCACTGCCACAGGACAGTATTTTTTGTCTCTTTTACTCACTTGTGCATCCCAAGTAGCTAACACTGCCTGGCATGTATTATGCTCTCAATATATATTTATTGATACTACACCACACACACACACACACACACACACACACACACACGTTTGTTGTGAAAGGCTAGAGGGAATAAAGTAAACATATAAACCCAGTCTTAAAGAAACAAAGTAGAGGAAATTATTTGTATCACTGAATTTTTTTCCCCATTTTTTGTAGCCTGACATGAGACTTTCCCCTAGTCATACTCTCTTCATTTATTATTCCTTCTGGACTATCATAATCTTTAATTACTTTTAGTTACTTACAAGATAAATCCTTGGCTTGTTATTAAAGATCTACACAATTTGACTCAAACTTGCTTTTCCTGTTCGTGTCCTGTTACTTCTCACAGAACAAGAAACTAGTTTATTTTTAATCCCATCTTGTGGTGAGAACATTTGCTTCCCAGGTACTCATATACTTCCATGACATTTATCCCCCGCTACCTATGGGGTCGAATGGCTAGTTTTGGCCAATGGTCTAGGAACAAAGTGACGTGTTACTTCCAGGTTAAGAAAGTTGTGAGCTGTTGTGTCTCCTCCTTTTCTCTCTTTCCCTATATGATGTACTTGGAGGCTGCATGTTGTAAATGGCATAACTACAAGATAGAGGAGGAAAACTTGCTTGTATCAGAATTTACCTAAGGGGTATGAGTGACAAAACTATTTTGCTAATTCATTGGAATCAGCTTTTGTGTGTGTGTTTGTATGTATGTTATAGCAGTTAGCATTATTTACTCTACATGATACAACATTTGTATTCAAGGATTTTCTCCAATCTGGGGTAGACATTTTTCTACCATATTTCTTAAGACTCAAAAATATTAATAACTCTACCAGTAATACCTATGTAATGGCTCCAAATCACAGGGGAAGATTGATCTGTTTTCCCTCCGATGACCCATTCCACATCTAGTCTGCAAAACATTTCTAAGATGAGCTGCTGATGATTTAGGGAGTATGGGCTGGATTATTGTTTACTTCTTTCAATTTAATTTATCCCCTAGTTTCATTATGGGTTCCCACATCTTGTATTACATTATGATCCCTATAAGATCTAGGACAAAATGCTTGCAAGCTACTCTTAGTGATTCATTCCAGAATAGATTTTTATCTTCTGAATGTTTCAACAAATAATTTTCTACTGGAAATATCCAACATGTCAAGGCATGTGGATATTTTTCTCAATTTTTGAATAAAACTGCTTTCTAAAGGAAAGTAAATTGAAGTAAATCAATTCAAGTGAATCAAAATTGATGTAAGGAATTATGCTAAATGGTTATTAATGACTTGAACCATTGCTTCTCTGAAGTGGTCATTTAAATGATAATCTAGTGGTAGTCACCAGAGAAAACTGTATCCTCTGTGGAACTCAAAATACCTCTCCTTGACCATGAAAATTTGAGAATGTTTTTGGGCCATCCCATATTTCACATTGTATATGTATAAACTTCAACCTGGCAATCAGCATACCCAGGTGTGCACCTATCTACTTTCATCTCACATGTTTTTCTGTAATTCTATGTGCACTGCCAAAGGCATTGTACAGGACAAGATTACCCTGTCCTAGGGCAATCTTGTCTCTTAAACTACTAGTGTTATTATAATGTCAGATGAATTCTTTTAAAATTACAAACATGAAATGAGCTCTTTGCCCTAGATTCGGTTTTTAGATACTAAGTTTCTTTGAACATATTTCTATGTATGAGATTAGGCTGGTTTGCTATGATTCTCACTTGGCTCTTTTATACTAATTGAGTTGATATGCTTGGTTTTTAAATTTTCTCTTCTGAATAGATCAGAAGTTTCATAACTGACCCACCAGGGAACCTCCCATCTAGTCTTGCACAAAAAAAGGGAAGGGGGTGCTTCTCTCTAGAACTTTGGCCACCCATCAAGTGTAAAGCACTAAAGATGAGGCCATGTGTTACCCCGTTACACCTATTATGTCTTTTTTAATTCCCCTATCATAAGCAGACAGAACATGAATGGAATTCTGTGATAGCCCTTTCAAGGTCAATGTGTCTGTGGCTGACCAATAATAAGCTTCTCCCTGAGTGTATGTGAAAACATGAATCTCTTTTCCAAACTGAATTGTAGACACTGTTAACTGGAGGTTTATTTCTTTTTATACCCTTGCTCTGAAAAGTCAGGTGTAAGTCAAACTTTATTTGAAATGCACTAGGGAAGCTGGCTATGTAAAGAGACCCTAGGTTAATGCTTTTATGGTTTGAATAATCACCACTGCATCAACTGGGAATTTTATAAATTGGCTTCTGAAGGCAAGGACTGCCTGCAGCGAGTTACCAAGAATTCCATGACAATTGCGTTTCTTTTTTGTACCTATTCTAATATGCATGAGATGACAGAAAATACGTGTCCTCCCTCTCTCCTTAGACTTTTCTTATTCTTTTTTATAGCTCCACCAATCATTACTATGATTTTATCACAAAGTTTTTCAGAGTATTTTGATAGTGATATTCACCATTGGGAGAAATTCTCCTACTGTGAAATCAACTATAAGATACTTTTAACAGTAACATTAGGCTTACCTGGACCTAGATAACAGTCTTGCTGTGAAACTTTGAATTATTGCTATTTAAGTAATTTTTCATTAAAAAGGAAGCAAAACAAGTAGAGGACTGTTTTTAAAATGGGCTTGTTATTACTCCTACATTGTATCTGTAAATTATAATTTTATATTGAATTTGTCATTAATTTCAGCTTCCACAGGGTGATTCCAGGAAACACTGTCATTTCAGAGGGAACCTGTATTCTGAACTCTGTATGGTCCCATTTTAATAGATTAGTAAAATGATAATAACATATGTAAATTGAGAATAGGATATGTCAGGTAAACAGCTATATTTTTCAGAACAATGCCTCATTCATAGTAAGCTCTCAATTAATATGTGAGTGATTGAGAGAATGGATGAACTTGCTTGAGGTCAAAAGCTATTAAGTGACAAAACAACATCTGAGCTTAGGTCGCTCTAATTCATAAATCCTTTTATATACATTCAGTATCTTGAAGCCGAAACCTGATGAACTAAAAGTTGTCTATTTTGGATTCTTAGAGGCTTTACAAATTTTTAATTTTTTAATGGCTCTTTTGGCTGAATTAAATGACAGTCAACAAAAAGAAGACATAGGAAGTGATAAAGAGAAGAGGAGATAAAGAAAATAAAAAGATGATGTTCAATGAGAAGTCCTCTTAAAGAATTAAGGAAAGTTCCCTGTTTTTCCATGACTCTTATAACACTTGTTTTGGAGAGTGACAAAAACAATAGGATGACTGACATCATTGTAATCCTACATGCTGAAAACATTTATTCATTTTACACACATAATGGAATGCTAATTAATACCAGGGAGTGAATGCAAAACACACTTAAATCACTTAATCCTCAAACTCTTGTTAAGTAAATGTTAAATTCTCATATAAAAGAAACAGAAAAGTTAAATGACTATTTTGCATGCACACACTGAATGAGGGATGGAACACATTACGATACTTAAAAAATCATGAGTTGGTCCAGGAGCATGAATAGTGAAGGAAACTTTAAGTATGAAAGAACTTAGAGTATAACGTGATAGCTATGAACAGAATTCTCTCCTATTAGCTTTAAGGTGTAACTGGTATAAGATGTAGATTACATAAGAAGTGAGAGAGTGAGTTTCTAATGGAAATAGAGAGAATGGTTATTTTTTGTTATTTAACATTTGTTAAGGTATTGTAGTGCCCTAAGAAATTATGTTTAAAGTACATGATTTTTAATTAATTTTTGAATTAAAAATACTCTAAAAGTCTTCTTGATACATGCTTCAGAAAATAAAGTTCAAATCAAATATACACCATTGACCTGGTAAAGGTCTCATGTCATGTTTCCTTATTAAGTTCTTAATCATTATTTTTGCCAGAAAGCTTATGGGAACTTATGATTTTTTAAAACCAAATCCTTTCTGATGAATTTTGAAAATAGAAGGACAGGTGTCAGAAAAGCTATAGCTGCACAATATATTACATGACATAGTTGTATTATACTACCTGCATTTAAGAATAATGTAATTTAAAGAATCTTCCATGTCAGTTTACAATATAACTAAGTTTTCATTTGAAAGGAAATAAAAGAAATCAAGTATTAAATTTAGGAAGAAAAACATCTCAGAAACATTGTTATAAAATTACACTTTGTACTTCATGCATTCATTTGACTGCGGAAATCTTTTCAGAGGATCGGGATTTGAATTGTCTGGAAATTTTTAAAAATGAAAATAAATACAAGCAAAATCGAAAACTGCCGGTCATAGCTAAAGTGAATGTACAGGTAACAGGGACAGTGTAATGGTTACAGAGAGCAGGCTCAGAGACCCAGACACCTGGATTCAAGTTCTACTTCTGCAGCCTGCTGTTGTATTACTTTGGGCAGCTTACTTAGCCACTCTGTGGCTTCTTCCTTTATCTGCAAAATGGGGATAATGGGGATGATAATAGTGCCGATTTCATAAGATGGTTGTGAGGATTAAAGAATATGTAGGAGAGTGTCTGACACAAGATGTGTTCTATATAAACAATTATTATTATTCCTCTTATCTGAGTGGTGTTGAGGGGTGGGTAGCCACCATGACACGGGGGGATCACTGGGAAACTGAAAAGTAGAATGAGGAGGTAATAAGAGCAAACATCCATTGCACATTTGCTGTGGAAGAGGAAGATGAAGTTCACAAGCAAATGCAAGCCCTTAGTTCATGTCACACACATTACACATGTAATACAAGAAATATATATGGATGGGAGGCAGGGAAATACTGGGTAGAAGATGGTGGTTCTTTGGCAAAGGCCCCACCCTCAAGCCTGGAAGCCAAGATCCTAAGTGAGAACAGGCATTCCTGTTTTTGCACTCAAATGTTGCCTTTTGGCCCACTATGTTCCCCTATCCTGCCCCCATATAAACCCCAAACCCCAGGCTCCACAAGCAGATGAGCAAGGAGCAGAAGAGCAGCAGAGTGGCAGAGCAACACAGCAGAGAAGGAGAGAAGAGGAGTGCCTAAATGTCAAGAGGAGTTTGGCTGGGGACTGTTGGAGAGGAGATTGGCTGTGGGATGGCCAAGCTCCAGGGGAAGATCATCTTCCCACTCCATCCCCTTTCCAGCTCCCCATCCATTCCACTAAGAGCCACCTCCAACACTCGATAAAATCCCTACATTCACCATACTTCAAGTATGTGTGTGACCTGATTCCTCCTGGACCTCGGTACCAAGAGGGCAGGGTGCAAAAGGCTATTACCCTGACCCTCCACTGAGCTGGTTTAACACTTAGCTGTCTGCGAACAGCAACTGCTAAAAGAGCATTAATTGTAACACACCCCGAGATGTTAACATGAGCTGGATCCCAAAAGCACTCACCCAGGCTGCTGCACCTATCCGTCTGCAAGCTCCGCCTCCCAAAAGGGATTTAAGCACACAGTGTCTGAGCAAGTGAGCCACACCCCTGTCACAAATCCTGCAAGGGGGTCAAGGAACTCTCCCATTTCAAAATTGCAATATTATGTGATAGCTATGAACAGACAGACACACACACACAGTTTTTATTTAAAGGTATAAAGGAAAAAATAAAATGATATATTTATAAAAATGTATTTAAATCATCTTTAAAAGATTATAGAATATTTCTTTCTCATAACAATTTGAAAGTAATTTCAAGGCTTCTAATATGGAACAAAATTACATGTACTTTTATAACTTGTAGTTACTGATAAAATTTATTTCTCTATAGATTTTGAAATAGCATCTGTGCTTTGGGCATCAGATTATTTGCCTTATTTTAGTTTTCATTTTCACTATTCACTGAAGTCATCATTCGAAAAACAGGAGGCTTTTAGATGCAAAGTCTGTTTTTACTTTTTTACAGTATTTTTAGAGATGGAGTCTCACTATGTTGCCCAGGCTGGTCTGGAACTCCTGAGCTCAAGCAGTCCTCCCACCTTTTCCTCCCAAAGTTCTGGGATTACAGACCTTGATCTATTTCTCTCTATTGCAGACATTGATACATGAACATTTTGTCTTCCTTCCTAAGAAAACATTGAATACATAATGTTACCCCAAACTTAAGAGGTGTGTGAGGGAGGATGAAGAAAAGAAGGATTGAAGGAGAAGGGAGCTGACTTTAGAAGAAATGGTTGAATATGCACATTGTACAATAGAAATATTTTCCTCAATCCCTGAAGAAATTTCAAGTGAATCCAAAATAGCAGAGACTAAAAATAGCTTTGAAAGTTAACAGGCTACTGAGCAAAATAAATAATTAGGATCTATCAATTAATGCAGCAAGAGAATGAATTATGTGATAACCAAGTGAAAGTTTCCCTGAATGAAAGGCTCTGAAGGTAATTAAAATGAAATTAAAGCCTGCTGCTTGAACAGGAGTAGTGGCCTTTATTATTTTGGAAAAGTTAGAGGGGAATTTAAATAAATAACTTGATTAGAGATTTAATTTCAATTGTAGCATGAGCTTTAGAGCTGATGACAGAAATATCATATGAAGAGAGAGCCCCTTAGATGGGGACAGTATTGAATTATTAAAGGGGAAGCAGGCATAGAAAACAAGTATACTGGTAGCTGGAAATGGGCAGTAGTGGGGTGGAGTTAATGTAAACAATTAACAGAGTGTAGGAGGAAGGGGCCGGCCAACAACTAGCACTACCTACCGATGGCTGACAATCCCAGGAAAGGCATCCTTGTGAAGTCTTGACTTCTGCTTTTTTATCCTTGGCTTAACCTCACCCATTAATTTCTGGCTTATTGCATAGCTAGAGAGAGTAAACTTAATTGATTCTTAGCAACTGCCTTTTTTTTTTAATTTCAAGTGTACCTTTAGTTCTAAACTATCGCAGCAATTATCTTCCCATTTAAAAATAACTGGGAAAGAAAGCATATCTGAAAAGACAGGACTGTTCTGTTTCTGCAAAGCCAACTATCAATGTTCTTCAAAGAACATGACTAGGGTGAAAAGACTGGAAAGAGGTTAATTGAAGTCAACTGTTATTTTATTGATCTGGGTAAAGAGTTATGGTTAGTTTTAAATTTTTAATATCTAATGTTTGAAATAGTTATGAGTTTCCAAAAGAAAACCTTGCTGGAAGTTTCAACCTTGAGGTTTAGGTTAATCGTGCAGTGAAGAAACATATATTTGAAGCCATGATATTTCATTTGTTTTTGATACCCACCTGGTAAAAAGACATGAGCACTGTCTTTAATGAAACAAAAGATAATTTCACCTTTTCTACTGCTTTTTTGTCTATCAATACAATTCTTTATCTCCTAAAGTCTGATTTACCTGATTAATTTTTAGTCTGACTCAATTTTTTTCAGAGACATTGTTTTATCATTCAAGTCTAGTTACAGGCAGTTTAGGAAGGTTCTACCTTATGCTGTTTAAAGGATGCCCGAGGCTTTGTTTTCTCCTAGTATCTAATCCACAAGCCTTTAAAAAAAACACCCATACACTTTCCCTGTTTGGGTTAAAATTCTGAGCTATCCCTAAAATATCTGCTGTGGGCTTTTCAGTACAAATAATAATATCTTCATAATGCCACTTAAAAATACATGTGTATTGCCAAGAGGAAGGATGGCCTTGAGATTGCTGAAGCTTTTTCCTTTTAGAAAAACAGACACTTTTAATACATTATGTGCTATACTTTGGTTTGTTTGACCCCTCCAAATCTCATGTTGATGTTTGATTCCCAATGTTGCAGGTGGGGCTTAATGGGAAGTGTTTGGGAGATGGAGGTAGACCCTTTATGAATAGTGAATCCTTCATTAATGCTCTCCCTGGGAGGGGAGGACTAAGCAAGTTTTTGCTTTACTAATTCTCATGACAGTTCCTCCAAGAACTGGTTGCTACAAAAAAAGCCTAGCATTTGCCCTATTCTTCTCTCTTGCTTTTTCTCTCACCATGTGATCTCTGGACATGCTGGCTGCTCTTTTCTTTCTGCCATAAGTGGAAGCAGCTTGAGGGCCTCACCAGACGGCCTTGTCAGTAAGGCCCTGCCTTACTTATTTTTAGAGATGGGGTCTCACTACCTTGCCCAGGTTGGTCTTGAACTCCTGAGCTCAAGCAATCCTCCCACCTTGGCCTCCCATAGTGCTGGGATTACAGGCGTTTTTCTATCACTCTCTGTTACATGAACATTTTCTCTTCCTTCCTAAGAAAACATTGGATACATAATGTTATCCCAAGCTTAAGAGGGATGTGAAGCAGGATGAAGAAGGATTGAAGGAGAAGGGAGCTGACTTTAGAAGAAATGATTGAATAGGCATATTGTACAATAGAAACAGTTTACTCAATCCCTGAGGAGATTGCACCAAGCTTCTTATACAGCCTGCAGAACTGTAAGCTAAATAATCCCTTTTTCTTCATGAATTACCAAGCCTCAGGTATTACTTTATAGCAACACAACAGACTAAGACATTATGTTTACTTTATCCTGCAAAATATAGAGAAGCTTATTAGTCAGGGTTCCCCAGAGGGACAGAACCAATAAGAGATATACATATATCTATATATCTCTATGTGTGTATGTGTGTATCATCTATCTACCTATTCTATCTGTCTGTCTGTCTGTCTGTCCATCTATCTATACACACACATACATAAAGAATCGCTTTGAGATTGCTGAAACTTTTTCCTATTAGAAACTAGACACTTTTAATATCTTATGTGCCATATATATATATATATATATACACATATATATGTATCATAATATTTCATGTGTTTCATCCCTCCAAATGTCATGTTGATGTTTGCAGCATAGCATCTTGCTTCGATGACCACGTTGCCTTCGTCTCATGTGTGAAGTCTCTTTCTGCATCTCTCTTATGAAGACACTTGTGTTGTATTTAGGGTTTATCCAGATAATTCAGGATAATGTTTCCATATTAAGAGTCTTAATCACTTTGCCAAGTCTCTTTTGCCATGTAAGGCAATATTCACAGGTTTCAAGTATTAGAGCCTAAACATATTTGGAAGATGTTATTCAGAGAATTTTTTTTAAAAAAAAACAGAGAGTAGAGTTGTGGGACAACTTCAAGTGACACAATATACCTATAGTTTGAGTACCTGAAGAAGAAGATAGAGAGGTGCAAAATAAGAAAAGTTGAAGAAATAATAAGCAACTATTTTTCCAAAATTGACAGAAAATTTAAACTCATATGTTTAATAAACCCAGTGATCACAAAGTAAAATAAATGTAAACAGAAACATGAACAAAACGACACCAAGTTCTGAAACAATACCACATCATAATCAAACAGTTCACAGAGAAAACCTTTAAAAAGTATATGAAGAAAACATTACAAATGCCTTCTTCCAAAAGACAAGTATTTTGTCCCATTCTGCAGATTGCCCTTTTACTCTGTGATGATAATAACAGGTATTTTGAATCACCTCCAATTAACCTCAAAGGTTAGAAAAAATTTTTTTCCTTACTTTCTAGTTACATTTATTCAATTATTATCTATATGATAATGACTCCGTATTTATGTCTCTAATAAAGACTCTTTTGAACTTGGCAGCCTATTTGACTTCTCTACTTAGATAACCAAAGATATCTCTAACTCAACTTGTCCAAATAGAATCTTGCTAATATTCTCCCTACACCAGTTTCTTTCCATTATTTCACTGTCTCAGGCCAAAATTCTTAGTGTTATCCTTGAGGCCACTCTTTTTATCCACCCTACATCTGATTTGTAGGCTTTCCATTTAGAATAAAGCCAGAATTTAACCCCCCAAATGCCGGTCACAGTCACCTTTTGCCTAGATGATTGCAACAGCTTGTTAGATGGTTTCCCTTCTCTGTCCCTGACCTTCTCTAGTCAATCCTCAACGCTAAAGCCAGGATGATCTTGATAAAACATAAGCCAGATCATGTCTAATGAGCAGCTTTCTATGTCAGTCACAGAAACATCCAAGTCTCTTACTGTTACCTACCAGACTCTAAGATCTGATTCCCCATGTCCTTTTTATCCTCCGTATTGTTCTCTCCACTCTAGCCACATTGACCCTTTGCTATTCAAATATGCCAGGAATAGTCCTATGTCAGAACTTTTGCTTTCTTTTCTTTCTGCTTGGAATGTTCCCAACTACCTACACACCCCAATTCTGTAGATTCTCTTTTTCTTCAAGTCTTTATTTAAAACTTGCCTTTTCAGTGAGGTCTTTTCTGGCCACCCAACTATACTTCATATTGCTAACCAAAATCTTTTATATGCTCTTCTTTGTCGGTCTCCATCAGTAGAATGTGAGTTCCATGAAGGCAGCAATTTTGTCTGCTTATTTTTGTAACCCCAATACCTAAAATAGTGTCAGGCACATGAAAGCTACCCAATAAATATGCAAATGAATACGAACAAAAGGCAGTGCATACAGAGGAAAAAAGATAAAGATGACAACAGACTTCTGGTTGCAAAAAATGTAAATGAGAAAAGAATGATGCAAAATTGTTAAGTATTGAAGGAAGAAAAAACTATCCAGCTAGAATTCTATATCCAGTAAAAAAATATTTTCAGAAAATGAAGGTGCAATAAAGTCTTTTCAAAAGACAAATGAAAGCAAAAATATTCACCTCCAGCTCATCTGTACTACAAGATATCTGACAGAAAGTCTTTCAGACAGAAGAAAAATAACAAATAGAAATATGAATGTGCACAAAATAACAAAGAGCATTAGAGATGGAAACTGCATGTGTAATCATATCAGATATTTTATTCTTTTAAGAATTTATTTAGAGTGTAAAAAATTGCTTAAACAAAAATTATAGCATTGTAATATGGGGTTTATAACATATGTAAAAGTAAAATGTATGACAAAAATCACGAACTTAGAATTAAAGCATATTATTTTAAGGTATATATACTAACTGAACATGAAGTTTCATAATATCACTTGAAGGTCAACAATGATAAGCCAAAGATGTATACTATACACTGTAAAGCAACAATTAAGAAAACGAATGAGATATATAATCATAAAATTTTTCAATTAATCCAAGAGAAGGCAGATAAAAAGGAAAATGGGAACGAAGGTTAGAAGAGATGAATTAGAAAACAAATAACAGATGAAATATATACACACAACTATATAAATAATCAGAGTAAATCACATAATCTATGTTTACTAATTAATAGGTAAAGATAGATTGAATAAAAAATCTTTTTATAAGAAACATGTATCAAATATAAAAACACAAAGAGGTTAAAAGTAAAAGGATGTAATACCATAAGCAATATAAAGTCTTAGGGCTGTATTTATATCAGACAAAGTAGATTTCAAAGAAAATAATATTATCAGAGATGAAGAGATCATTTTATAATGAGAAGTAGGTCAATTAATCAAGAATATGTAATATTCTTAAATTTTTACTTACCTAACAATAGAGCTTTCAAAGTCAAGAGAAAAAAATTATAAAGAGAAACAGACAAATTCACAGTGATAGTTGGATATGTTAGTGCCATTATTTTAATAATTGATAGGCCAAGGAGATAGAAAATCAGTAAGAATATAACAACACAATCAACTAAATTGAAGATGCAACAACACAATCGACCCAAAGACCTAATTGACATTTATGGAAGTAATTTATCCAATAACAGATGATTACACATTTAAAGAAATTTAAATGGACCATTACCAAAGTAGACCATATTCTGGGTAAAAAAAATACATTTCAATAAATTTAAAAGAATTCAAGGCATACAAAGTATGTTCTCTCACACTAATGGAATTAAATTAGAAATCAATAGCAGGAAGATATCTGGGGAAACCATAAATATTTGAAAGTAAATTGCATACTTATAAATAACCTATGAGACAAGGAATAGATCAAAAGCCGTAAGAGTTAAAACTCAGCATAACAACATTTGTCAGATGCTGCCAAAATCATACTTAGGACAAATTTACAGCATTGATCACCTATATTATAAAGAGAAGTGTCAAGTTAGTAATCTCATTTTCTACATTAGGAAACTAGAAAAAAAGAGCAAATTCAACCCAAAAATTAATAGAAGAAAGGATATAATAAGAGTGCAAATCAAGGCAACAGAAAACATAAACACAATAGAAAAAAATTAAAACCAAAAAATGATTCTATAAGAAGATAAATTGATAAATCTCTGGTCAGACTCTTCACACATACATATACAAAAGACAGAAACCACAAATTACCCATATTAGAAGTGAAGGGGTAATATCAGTAGAGATCTTAAATTTATGAAAAGAATATTAAGAGAATACTATGAATAACTTTATGCCAATATATTTAACATAAAATGAACAAATTCACACAAACTACCAAATCTCACACAAGAAGAGATAGCTAACCTGAATAGCCTATATCTATTAGAGAAATTGAAACTGTAGCTAAAAACTTCTATGGTACAAGGAGAGCCTCTAGTCCAGATAGCTTCACTGGTGAATTCTACCAAACATTTAAGAAAAAAAAAATACCAGCATTACAAAACTCACATCGAATAGAGGAGTGAATATTTCCCCCTCATTTTGTAAAGCCAGTATTATCCTGACACAAACTCAGCCGAAGACATTACAAGGAAAGAAAAACTACAAATCAATATTTTTCATGATGAGAATGCAAAGTTTTAATGAGTACTTTTTGCAAATTGAATGCATCAATACTTAAAAGAGATACTGAATTATAACCAAATAGGATTTATACAAAGAATGCAAGATTCTTTTAACATTAGAAAAATCAGTGTAAGCATTAAAACAAGCTAAAAAGAAAAACTACATAATCATGTCAATGGATGTGGAAAAAGCATTGAAAAATATTCATTATTTATTCTTGAGAAAAATTCTTAGAAAACTAGGAGTTTAAGGTAACTTACTAAAATGAATAAAGAGCACATACTAAAAACCTGTTGTTAACGTGATACAAAATTGTGAAAGACTAAATGCTTTCCCCCTGAGATTAGTTGCAAGCAAGATCGGGTACCAGACTTTTATCACTTCTATGTAATATTGTAATAGTGGTTCTATAGTAATAAAGGAAAAGAAAGAAAACATCCAAATGGAGACGAAATAAGTAAAATTGTCTTTATTCGCAGATAAGTGATTATGCAGCAAACCAGAGGAAATACGCAAAAAAATTTCTTGAACTAATAAGCTTACTAAGTTTGCAGGATAAAAACACACTATTAAAAGTCTATTTTATTTTTATATACTAGCAATGAATAATCAGAAATTGAAATAAAAATATTTACAATAGCATTAAAATATGAAATAGAGAAAAATTTGACAAAGAAGTAAAAGACTTGTATAACAAAAGTGAGGGCATGTTTCTGAAAGAAGTTGAGAAATATACTGTGTTCTTGATTCAGAGGATTCATTATTATTATTAAAATTTTATATCTCCTGAATTGATCTATAGATTCAAAGCAATTCCAATAAAAGTCCCATCATTAGACATTAAGAAATGCCAATGAAAACCATAATGTGATTCTATTACATACCTATTAGTATAAGATTAAACAGATTGGCCATACCAGAAGTTGTCAAAAATATGAAACAACTGGGACCCTCTTATATTCTGGGCAGGATTCTGAAAACATGTAACTACTTGGGGAGATGGCTTGGCAGTTTCTTTAAAAAGTTAAATGCATACCTACTATATGACGTAGCTATTCCACACCTAAAAGCCTACACAAAGACATGTACACAGTGTTCATAGCTGCTTCTTTCGCAATAGCCCCAAACTGGAAACAACCTAAATGTTCATCAATAGGCGAATGGATAAACAAACTGATATATCCATATACAATGAAGTACTGCTCAGCAATAAAAAGGAATGAGCTCTTGATAAATGCTACAATGGGAAGGATCCCAAAATACTTATGTTGAGTGAAAGAAGCCTACACATACACACACAAACATACACAAAGCACATAGTGTATGATTACATTTCTGTACAATTTTAGTGTTTACTAACTAATATTTAGTGACTGATAGTAGATCAGTAGTTGCTTGTACATGGTGGGAACAAAAAAGGGTGGAATGGAGGAATTATGTCAAAACTTATCACGGTGTGCACACTAAATATGTATAATTCATTGTATGTTAATTACTTAATTACCTCAATAATGCTGCTTTTTCAAAAAAATCTGGGGTAGAAGCATAAATATTTTTAAAAGTCTACAGAAAGCCTTTGCTTTTTAAAGACATTCAAATATAACTATTTGTAAACTTTCTCTAATTATAGATGCATTTAAAAAACAGAAACTTTTCAGAGACTTGATTTTCTGCAAATACTGTATCTGAATCACAAATATACTATCACAAATGGAACAAACAGAGGTCAAAACAGGTCAGGAATTCAAAGCATGCTAATTCAAAATGTAATTTTTGACATTTACTCGAGATAAATATCTTTCCTTCTGCATTCATACAGAATTAAAAATTGACTAGGACAATAGCAAAAACGCCCAAGACTATACTGGAGCTGAAATGTAAAACTAAGGTGGCAAAGGTTCAGTGATTTATGAATACAGTCTGGTTCAGTAAAAGGAGAAGTGAATTAAAGAATCTCAAGCATATAGCTTGCTGAATAATTTCTCACTATAAAATCACTCCATAGACTGAAAATTGACCAACAAGAAATAAACATATCTAGGAAAAGCTAAAAGGAAAATTCGTCCCTCCCTTGTCAGTGTAAGATGATTTCTTACCATGAACTTGCTTTTCTTTGACCCGACGTGGTTTAAAAAAATCTCTATGAATGGATTTTCATTCAGTTTCATTCCAATCACTTCCTTCAGGAATCTCTTAAATTTATAGTTTTGTATGTCATTAAAGTAATGATCTTTAGTATAGTTTTCAATTTTATATAATCAACTTCGCCTCATCTACTGATGGTTTTAGATAAACTTTGGCATTTACACTTTACTGATGTCATCTACCCAGTTGATCAGCATTATCCAGGCTCCCAAGAGCTTCTACTTTTTCCTTTAGCTACCTTCCTTTTGGCTGTTTCTCTGGTGATTTACAGTTTGTGAGTGTGTGTGTGTGTGTATGTATGTACTCTCTCCCTTATTCCTTTAATTTTAATTAAATATGGTAAATGTCACATAGTATGTTGACTTCTTGATGACAGCTTAAAAATTATTTAATAGGGAGAAGGTAAGAAGACTAACTAATATGGGATTAGTGTTTCTCTGCAGTTCATTTATTTTGCAGCTTGCCTTTTCCCACATATGGGCTTAATTTCTGATTGGTCTTAATTTTTAGAAACTATTCATATTTGCCTTAAGAAATCATCATCATTTCTTTATATTAATCAGCAAGTATTCTGTCTTCTGAAACTTTCTGCATTGCACCTACAGACCAACATCCCATTACCAAGGAAGTTACAGTTGCTTCCTAAGTGACAGGGTAATTATCCTATGGTGCTTTTGTTGTGTGCTAACAACAAATATGGGTAGTGGTTTAGAGTCAGTGGTGAGAAAGTACATGGCAAAAGGTGGTCAATGAAATATGTATTTATTCATTAGTTTCACCAGAAAAATATCTGTTGTATACACTTTAGGTGGGATAAATATTATTCAGAAAGGCTGATAAATACTCTTGGTATCACCACAATGAGGTGAGGGCTAAAATGAATCAGTCTTTTCTGTAATGATCTTATGATTATACGTGTGTTTCCAATACCCTGTAGGACTACAATCAGAAAGCACGAATGCTGGGGACAGTCAGAAATTATCTGGGTATTTCAGACTGTGGCAGCACTCCAGCTATTCAAGCATATTAATCTATCTTGGGACATAAAATAAACTTCGATTTTCAGTATAATAAAGTAATTAAGCCTGATATTTCCTTTATATTGTGTTAGGTAACAAATATATCTTTTACAACTGTTTTCTTCCAGTGTCACAGAAGTTTATCCTGAGTGAAAATACTTTCAACGTACTCTCATGAGTGACAGAAAATCTGTAAACTAAATCTGTACTTAAATTGTTGGCCAATGAGGGGCCCCAAAACATATAGAGACCTTCAATATCTGCTGTAGAAATTGACTTCCTGGTCTAACCCTTATGAACCAGTAGAGGTGAAAAAAGATTCTTCCATTTGGCTCATGATCATGGTTTTATAAAGTTTTGTTTTTGATAAACTAGTGAGTATAATTTTGTGGTTAAAATGTGCTGTAATGAGTCTGAGAGAATTTGAAAAGGGCTTCAAAATTTCAATTTTATCAAAAAAAGTGGATGAAGGGTCAATACATTATAAATAGAATGCTCTTAGCATTTGACAGTTCTCACTGTGACAATTTTCTTTTTTTTCAAATTTGTTGTTTTAAAAAAAAATTTTACAGAGCATGTATCATTGCATCACCTAGGCTGGAGTGCATTGGTGTCATCACAGCTCACTGGAGCCTCAAACTTGGCTCAACTCATCCACCTGCCTCAGCCTCCTGAGTGGCTGGGACTACAGGCATGTGCCACAATGTCTGCCTAAACACTGATAATTTCTCAGCTGTCCTCCTTTTCCTCCCCTCCTTCTTCTTCTATATAGCAAAAATATATAAAAAAAAAAGATGGAGAAATGATATACCATACTTCCAAGATGGGTATTTTTTTTGTGGATATACCATTATTCTACATCTTAATAGGCTGTATTATTGAATGCTAGTGAGCCCATTTATGTTTTGGAAACAGAATAAAATTCCATTATAATATAGCTTACCTATATTTATAATTATAATAGTTGCTAAATTATATATATTTTATATAAATATTATATAAATTATATTTTATATAATATTTTATATATTTTATATATTTTATATAAATATTATATAAATTATATATAATTATAATAGTTGCTAAAATTCACTGAGTGGTTAAAATATGCCACATCCTGTTCTAAGCACCTTACATATGTTAACTTACATAATTCTCTCAATGGTTCTATGGAATAATTGCTATTATTTTCTTTACAAATTAGAAACTGAGGTTCAGAAAATTTGAGAGATTTTGCTATGTTCACATAGCTGGCAAGTAGTGATGTTAGCAGTGGCAAATCTGTATGGGTCTGCAGCAACCTCAATTCTTGCCTCCTCAGAAGAAAGAATTTGACTGAGGGGCATAAGGTAGAGGAAAAGACCAAGGCAAGTTTTAGAGGAGGAGGGAAAGTTTATTATGAAGTTTCAGAGCAGGAATGAAAGGAAGTAAAGTACACTTAGAAGAGGGCCAAGTGGGTGACTTGAGAGATTCAAATGCATGGTTTGACCTTTGACTTAGGGTTTCATATGTTGGCACACTTCCAGGGGGTTTTGTCCCATCTCCCCTAATTCTTCCCTTGGGGTGGGCTGTCCTGATGCACAGTGGCCTGCCAGCCCTTGGGAGGGGCTGCACATGCAGCATTTACTGAAGTTGTATACATGCTCAATTGAGGTGTTTTTCCCTTACCAGTTGAGTGCTTCCTAGAGGAAGGTTGTATATCAGTTCAACTCTGCCATTTTGCCTCTTAGTGCACATGTTTTAGCTCACTCGCCCTACTACTGATCTTATTGGGAAGCTGCTTATCACCAGATTCAAGTGTTTTCTGTCTGTTGGGAGAATGCCTTTCTCTGGCTCTGGCTGTGACCAGTTATTATTTGAGACAGTTTAGCAACTGCCTGATCATCACCTGATAGTTGTTTGACATTCCTGGTGTTGAGGGTGGAGGGTTCGCCGGCCCTGCTCAAGTCTGACTATTAATACCTGCTATAACAGTGAAGCCCAGATTAAAACCCAGATAATCTGATTGTAATCTTAACCACTAGGGTATGTTGACTCTGTGAGTATACTACAAATGAGGCACTTCCAAACATGGTAATGAAGCAGCTACATTTGTCTGGGGTTTGCCCATCATGCCCCAGGAAAATTTAGGACACAGACACACACAAGGAGTTTAGGAGCAGAGGTTGAATAGGTAGAAGAAAAGAGAAAAAAGAACATCTTTCTTGGATTTGGGTGGCTAGAGTAACTTTAGTGTTAACCTTGGCTAGATGTTTCCTGTCATTATCAATCCCGTCATGACTTTCACAGAAAATCTCTTTCTTTTATAATCTTCTTTGCATAGCTAGGGTGTGAGATATTACCAAACCCAGTAAGAATTTCTAGCAAACTCAGAGATACTAAAACTTTCATGCTTCCTTGTTGTTGGTAGCTATTATCCCTGCTATAAGGATACTAATTAAGCAAAATACCATAGCAATAGGGATGCTCTGTCTTGCAAGGGTGACGTAGTAGATTTTTCCATCAAAATTTTACTTGCCAAGATATAGAATTTCCTTTGGGGCTCTATGAAGTTTCTTGGTTTTATTTTCCCAAAGAAACCTCTGGGTTATGGGCGCCCTTCTTTTTATTATCTGGCAGAATTTGCAGGATAACTGCCTAGAACTAGCATATTGATCCATATTTTTACATTATCCACCCCTTTTTGTTTCTTCTAAGCTGCAGCAGATCACCACTTGATTCAAAGGAATAAGCAGGGTTAGTCTAAAATGTAGGCAAAAAGCTTAAAAACAACTAATGAGACTAGGATTTAATGACAAATGTGTAATAAGCTTTGGAGAATACTTTCTCTAGTCCTCATTTTTGGTAAAAAAAACAAATTATGATAGGACTGTGTTGTTCATAGAATAAACTTGAGTCTTATACTTGGTCTGATTATTTGCATAAAGTGTAGTGAGAATGGTTATTTATACGTAGGTCTTTTGGATTGGCCTTGATGGAACTCTGTTCCACAAGGAATCTCAGATAAGACCTTTTAAAGCCGAGCCCAGCCGTGGGTTTTTATCCTCAAATACCTGTGAGTTGGGTGACCCTTTTCTCTTAGTGTTCCAAGATAAACTTGGAGCTCCTGGACCTGTTAGGAAGTGAAATTCTTTGCTGACCACAGGTTAGAAACCCTGTGCAGAGACTGTGTAGGCAAGGTATGAGGCCAGTTATCCCCATGGAGCTTTTATCTGCTCTGCACATCCAGCTTGATTCCTTAAAGGGAAATGCATCCTTCCAGTCAAAGCCTTTGTAAAATAATCAGTTTTTCCAGTTGTGTCCTGTTGAAAAACAAAAATGGACTCTTATTGGACTGATGCAAACAACTATATTGCCATAAGTTAAGAGTACCACAGATAGCTTCCAAATTCCAGAGGTACCAGGCAGAGAGAAACAAATATGCTCCAAATTTTATTTACAGGAGTATACCTTACTCAATTATTAAAGGCTGTAAATAATTCAAAATAAGTTTCCTTGACTCTGAAAAACAAAACAAGGATCAGCAATATTTCAAGCAATATTCAAAAAGTTTGCTTTAATTTCTGAGTGCAGTCCATTTAGTTAACCTTGTTTTGCTTGACATTTGTGAACATTTCAGTTCTTCGTGAGTTGCATACGTTGTTTCTCTATTCCAATGTTACAATCTTCAAAGCTATTAAAAACCTGCATTTGCTAAGACCTGTTAAAGTCTTATAGCTTGATTATAACCAATCTTTTGAGAAGGAACAAAGCAGACAACGATTGTCTGTGAATGACAAAATTTCCACGATAGTTACAGTTGAAAACATGACTGACAAAGAAGTTTAGTTATCTCTGTGGCTTACAATAACTTCACCCTTGATTATGATTGAGAGCATATATTCAGACATCAGAATTTTAGAAATCCCATATAATTTTGGAACATATATTAGAATTGTTCACCAAAATATAACTTAAAGAAGATTGGATATCATTTTGGCAATCTCATGTGACTAAACGTGTCAAATAATCCTGGTCACCTCTTTTCTGAATGTTTCAGGGGCCCTCTGAACCATCCAGAAAGCCAGGCATTAGAAAAGACAATTTTGAAACTTAAAGTTTGCTTCTGGGGCACTTATTAAATGTTAGAGGTTTAAAACGCTTGATTTTATGAAATAGAATTCCATGTTGCCATAAATTATTTATTTGGCCAAAATCACGACTCAAAAGATAAATACCTTTTATTAGCCTTCATTATGACATGAAAATCCTGTTCAAAGCCAAATTTTACCCTTGCATTAGTTTATGAATGTTAATCCCAATTTGTTTAAATGAAACCCTACAGATGATTCCACCTAATCTTACCAATTTGACCACGAGGTGAAATCTTTACAAAACCTTTATAACCCTTTTTGATAAAGGGCAGATTAGCATTTTTGGACGACCTTGCTGTGCTTTTATTTCAATGCTCAATTTATGGAAAAGACCATATAACATCCTTTTGAATTTAGTTAATGCTTACACATTTTTGCAAGATTAATTTTTACAATCTTTCTGTAACTTGCTTAAACCTCTAGCTTTATCTTATCAAATTTAACATAATCCCTCGTTCCCTGGGCAAAATTTACATTCCCATGCTTTCTTATATTCTTTTACTAAAAAGACATAGCTTACTGTTATTATGCTCCTTGCATGTAATACTATTTAGTGATCTCAAATACATGTTGCACTGTTAACTCATAGCAACTTGTATGTTTGGTGAAAAACCTGGTTAGTAAGTGATTTTAATTATGTACCAGCTATGGAGCCTAGGACCCAGACAGAAGTACCAATAAGGCCTGACTCCTTCCAGCATCTAACTCCATGTGTCCCAGGCCTTACCTATCTGTAAAGCAGGCCGTATACAACCTTAACACATTTAGCAAAGCTAGTATCTAATTGTATGATTTAGACCACCTATTTGCATTTTGATGGCACTTGCATTTTACCAATAATCCTTAAGACTATTTTTATTTCTTAAAGATTAAAGTCACTTAAATGAAAACATATTTGATTTAAGTGCTTGTTTTTCTTTAAGCCAATTAGAGCTCTTTTTATAGACATTACACACAACACACATATAGTGACACAAACAGACAGAAGATTCAGCATTTGTAAGATTTTTCATTTGCCAGTTTCTTAATTGGATTATTGGCTGCAGGGTGGAGCCCTTGGAGGAACAGGGCCAGGAAGGAATGCATTTCTAGGGCGTAATAAGTAGGCACAGCTGAAGACAAAGACAGATTCCCCAAAATTAAGGGTGCCTTTTTATACAGGATTTTGGATCCCCAAAGGGAAGGAGATACTATGGAAGAAGACGGTCAGTGCTTCTACCATGTATTTCATTGCAAGGCAACCTAAAGCCAGTTGGCTTATCCCTCAGTTGGAGGTGGGGATGTTTCCATATCTTTCAGGTGGCCAAGAGCATGCTTCTCTGATTTATAACTACTATTAGCCATCCCTTAAAATGTATTTCCTACCTAGTTTTTATACACCAAAGCTCCCTCTTAATGTGAGGTAACTTGTTATCTCCAAAACTCAAAACTGTTAGATAACACAATGCAAAACAGAAAAGAACCTTTGGTTTTGAGAGGGAACTATCCACTTTTAATTCCTGGGGTCTCATGAGGAAAACAGAGGTGTTTTTTTTTTTTTCCCCCCAGAATGGGGTCTATGGCGACTCCTTTGTTTTTCCCAAGGAGTCCCATGCTACCAGAAGTTATCTTAGGCCCTCTCACACATGCATTAAGAGTGGCAAGAAAAAAACAGAAAAAAAAATTCATTTGACTAAGAAAAATATACCTATAACTTGAATGTCCACTTTTAATTAAGCTGAGCACTCTTTAAGAAAATCCTTTTAAATCCCTTGTTACTCAACTTTAGCCACACCAAGCTGTTAAGATTTTCAGCTTTTGAACGTTACAAAAAGTGACCTCACAGGTGAAACCAACAAGCCTTAATTAGGTTATGACTTAACAATGAGTGTACAAGGTATTTTCAAAGAGATGAAAGGCAGCTTTTGAAACCATTATTGCAAAATTATGACTGAGATATAGTGAAAGAGATCCAACCCAACCAACTCCATTTTGTTTCCAACCCCCAAGCTGTCCTTGCTTATCCCTGGTTGTAGGCCAAACCAACTTTGGGAGGACCCTGGTTTACAGTTTATAGTCCAAAACAAAGACGATAACAGCCCCTTCTTAAGATATATTTCCCTCTTGCCTGGGGACCAGACCAAGTAACTAGCCACAAGATTGGACACCATGGCTTAGGAGTCATGCAGCTGGATGCTAAAAATTTTGACGCTCCTTAAACTGCTCTCAAGATCAGTGCTTAAGATATTTTGTAAACCTTGCCCTTGATGGAACAGCTGACACCATCCAGATCAACAAACTAGCTTATCTGATTTTGTGGCCCCTATTCAGGAACTGACTTAGCATAAGGAGATGGCAACCATTGTAAAATGGTACAGACTAAAACAAAGTATTGCCATGTGGTTACAGGTCATGTTGCCAAGCACATGAAACAAGATGGAGGCCTATAGCCATGTTTGTTACTGGCCGTTTTGTTGGGTTGGCTTGATCAGCAGGCTTATGGGGTCCTGGGCCTGCATCCTAACGTAAGGTACTCCTTCTTTTGACAGAACCATACAGAAAGACACATGAAGCACAACAGACTGGCTACAGCTTAAGACCAACCTCACAAATCTTTTTTTATTACAATTTTACAGAGAATATAAACAATGATCCTTATTATCCCTTTTTCCAGTTTGCGTGGGTAGAGAGAAGCCAAAACTTGGCTAGTTAAAAAAACAAACAAACATAACCTTTTACCTTTTTGCCAGCATGTCAGGCCTCTGGGTTCCCTTCCCCCAGCTCAACTCTAAGCCAAGCATTTTAAGGTTTGGGGAAATTCACTTCTCCTAGTTTGGAGGAACATTATAAAAGAAGAGATAGGAGCCATTGTAAACCTTGAAAGAAGGAAAAACACCATAGAAAAGTCTGGGGGCACCAATTAGGGTCATCAAGAGGTACTGCCTCTCTTCCTATTGGGAATGGTGTTTTTCTTATTTGTTTCCCTTCCTCATTTTCTTTTTCCTTTCAGGCCTATTATAGGAGACATATTGCTCACCCTTCACGAGAGGTCAAACACCTGAGTTAAATTTTGGAAAGCTTCTATATACCTATCAGGATCTTCAGAAAATCAGACTAAGCCTCCTTTTATTTGCCTAAGGACCTGCAATGAGAAGGGAACTTGAACCCTAGTGGCATCACCTCCATTGGGAATTTCCTATAGGGGTAAGAGCAAAGGTAGGGGAGTGGGAAATTTTGGATATGGTGGAGGTGGAAAAGCTGGTGGTGTGGTTTGAGGTGACTCCAGATAAGAGGGGCTTGAAGGGCTGGGACACCCAATAGCTGTCTCAGATGGTTGCCTTGGAAGTTGCTTTTCTAATTTTTGGGGAATTGTTCTCTTTGGGCCTGCCTGATCTGATTGCTAAAAGGCCTGAGTTGATTTTGTAATGCTTGCAAAGATCTGGTAAAAAGGCTATGCCCTCGTGCAAAAGAAAATGAGCCACTTTTGTCTTTAAAATCTCAGGGTCAAAGGAGTCCTTGTGCTTCATAATGCACTCCAGGGGAGTACAGGCTGAAGATGGTACCTATCTAGAAAGAAAAGCAAGAAAAATGAGTCCCTTTAGTCTCCTTCCTTTTGGTGTGGCCCAGGGTAAAGAGGAAAACAGTGGGGGTATCCCTCTTGCTATTTTGCCTCTGTGTTTCCTGGGTCCTGGCACCTTGTTGAACATACCACCCATGGTTTCAGGGATAACCCCCAGCCATGGAACCAGAGGAAGTAAGTGATTGGCGTTAATCATGCTCATGCAAGTGGCTCTAGTTCTCTGCCTGTGATTCTCCTTTGACTTCCTAGACTTGTGTGACCTGCCTGGCTCCCCAAAAACTAGATCTCAAGAAAAACTATATAATAGTTGGGCAAGGCCTCTGTAATGAAGGAGGAGTGCTAGATTGAACTCTATATCCTGCTATTATGGCTTGAGCTAAAGTATTTACCCTTACAGAATGGTTCCTATTAACTTCAGAACTAAAATCACCTTAGTAATTAAGTACCACTCTAATTGGGGGCAGAATAGGTGCCTTAAAAGAACATAGGGACTGAATGACTATTTTCCTGCTGATGGGACAGTATCAAGACTAAGATTTGGCTTCGGAGGATATTTTACTCCTAGTTGTTGAAGGTAGAATTTTCCCATTTACAGAGGCAGCATAAAGCCTGGTTTCTAGTAGAGAGGACCAGAAAGAGAAGGGAATTGGAAAGCTAGGTTGTTTTGGTAAAGGACCAAAAACGTGCCTCTTGGAGAGGATCCCTATTCCACTAAGTGGAGTTGTTGGCCTTGAGACACCATGAGCTCTCCAGACCAAGGGCAGAGAGAGACCTGGAAATGCCATGTGCTTTCCATACCAAGGGCAGAGAGAGGCCTGGAAATGCCATGCGCTTTCCACACCAAGGGCAGAGAGAGATCTGGCAATGCCATATGCTCTCCAGACCAAGGGCTGAGAGAGACAGAGATGCTCACTTGTGGGCGTGGGGAGAACCCTCTGTTCCTAGGAAATCACAAACACAACTTCCCTTGAGTTATATTCCCAGTTACTATGACATTCCCTGATGTTGCTAAACAAGATTACTTTCCTGAACTGTAAAATTTCCCACACATCTTATCCACACAGAGAGGATATGAGATATAAAGGTCATGGACTGGAAAGGAGGAAATTATGATAGGAAAGTTGGAGATCCTGTTGCCAACACTCCGTTGGGGTGGTTGGAGGCTGGAGTCAGTTCAGAAGCCTTTGGATAACACACCTGGGGGTGGCCCTGGCCAGAAATCCTGAGTTGCCCCAGGACTTCTTCCAGTCGCATGCAACAGCTAAGTCCTCAGTGAAAGGTCTAAAATGGAGGCCGAGAGCCTCTGAATGAAAGGACAGAGTTGGAGTCCGCTCCTCTACTCACCATTTCAATGAATGTTGTACCTTAGTATCCCGGACAAACCCCCATTATGAAGTGGCTATGCTGTTTGGAGTATAAAACTGGGTTCATTGTCATGCTCTGGGAAAATTTAGGACACAGACACACATGAGGAGTTTAGGAGCAGAGGTCGAATAGGTAGAAGAAAAGAGAAAGAGAAACAGCTTCTTCTATAGAGGAAGGGATCTCTGAGCAGAGAGAGGACCAGCTGGCAATGAATGCACTGAGTTTTATAGTCCATTTGAGGAGGCAGTGTCTGATTTATGTAAGACTCGCAGATTGGGTTGATCAGGTATGACGTTCACATAGCACTCAGGGAAGGCTGATTGCCTCACCCTAATCCTCTTATGCAAATGGGGCTTTCTAGTTGATCAGCACCACCATCTTGTCTGTTTCTTATAATACACATGGCTGGCAGAGAAGGGAAGATAGAGCCGCCATTTTGAAAATGTCTAGTCCTTAGTTCCTGCTGGCATTCACCTGTGCAAGCTCCCAGTTTGCTAGAAAATACTGTTTGCTAGAAAATGATTTGGGGCTGCTGTTTGTTAAAAGTAAAAGCCTTAATGAGGACTCCCATACCCTTGGTATCTGCCCAAGTAATTCCTTCTTAAGTCCTATATCAGTAAATAAATACAAGGGAAATACAGTACAGTACTTATTAAATCAGCCAACAATTGTTACATTGCTAAGCAAGTAATAAGCTTGTCTGAATTGTGCTTTAATATATTTTAAAGGGATTTCATTGCAACTCATTAAACTAATTTGAATATTTTGAACATTGCTTAGAAGGTAATTCATTTCTATTTCAACCAGACTGAAAACATTGCTAAAATAATATGCTTAGTTATAAGTTTTTCAAATCTATTGTTAGTTCAGTCTGGAAGAGCATAGTCTAGTCTGGAAGTGCAGTGACAAATTATTCAGAATTTAAACAATGGGTCTTTGGCATTTTTATTAGTTATGTCAAAAATCACTAAAGAATTGACTTGATCTTTGCAAATCTGTGTCTACCTTGTTACTTGCTCTTGCTTTTGTTGTTATTATGATTCAGTCTCTTGGCTGTCCAAAGGCTCACTGAAAAATCACTGACATGAAGTAGATAGTAGGATAAAAGGCATAAAAATTTATTTAACATATATATGTGGAAGACTTCACAATGAAGGCTTAACTTCCTAACGAGGTAGATAAGCTTATATACCATCTTGAAGTTATAGAAACAACAGGGCTTGAATCCTGGTAAAATAGGTTATGGGTAAAATAGGAGTGTTGAGGGGATTACTAGGGAGAATGAATGAATCCAGAATCAGAGATTAACTTGCAAATAGTTCTCTTTGGAATGTAAATGATTCTTGAGATAGTCATTATACTTGTAAAAGAGCCTGTGCAGCTGTGGCTGTAGTCTTGGTCTTTTCTGCAATTGATAATGAGATAAGGAGGGAAAGAATAAACAATTGTTCTCCTTGGTCGGTTTGGATATTGGGCAGGTAAATGAACTTCAACAATATTGGAGAGACCATGGGGGTGGGAGGAGGTCAGAGAGACCTGGAGAAGGTAGGTATTTCATTTCTCTTTCAATCAAAGTGAAGAAATTGCTAAAATAGCAAGACACGAGTAGGCAAGGGGAGCCCCTGAGAAAGGAAAAGTCTGGGAAGGCTCATTCCCGAGGGACCACCCAAAATTTGCTTATGAAAGGTTTGCTGGAGTGAGTGAGCACTTAGTCAAATGTGGGTAAGAAGGAAAGGAGGTACATAGGAAGAAAGAAATCCCCCAGAACCCCTCGTAAGATGCCCCAGTAATCGTTCATTCTACTGTTAAAATGTCAGAATATCTCTAGCTACATGCTTATAAAAAGGGCGAAAGGGACATTCCTAAGAAAACCCTGACACCATAAATATAGATTAGAACAGATAAGACAATTTCAAAGAGATACCCAAGCACGCTAGGTATAGATTTGATTGCTACATAACTTTCATGGGGTGGGGATAATGAGCAGGGCCACCATCAGGCAGGAATTCTGTTGATCACCAGCCCTGCACATGCACATTAACCAACAGTAAATTAGGGTCCCACAAGCCTAGGTGAGGCAAAGGCAGGGATTTAAGGCTGAAGCAGGAAAAATTAGACAAAGGAAAGGGTGGAGACTTGAGACAGAAGAAGGAATTTGAAGAAAGTTTGACGTGATTAAACTCCCTGCACAGGTCACTTGGTGCTGTTTTCCTACAGGATCATTCTGCTCCTGCCTTGGGGCACATCTCTTTTTTTCTACAAGAAGCTCTTTAAATGATATTTCTATTCAATAAAATTATCTGCTATCTTTGTCCTGTGTCTTAGTTGAATTTTTTTCTTTCAAGTGTTACCAGAAAGGGGCCCCAATCCAGACCCCAAGAGAGGGATATTGGATCTTGCACGAGAATGAATTTGGGGCAAGTCAATAGAATGAAGTAAAAGCAAATTTATTAGAGAAGCAAAGGAACAAAAGAATGGCTACTCCCTAAACCCTCCGGGCTGCTGGTTGGCTATTTTTATGGTTATTTATTGATCATATGGTAAACAAGGGGGGGATTATTTATGAGTTTTCCAGGAAAGGGGTGGGCAATTCCTGGAACTGAGGTTTCCTCCCACTTTTAGACTATATAGGGTAACTTCCCAACATTGCTGTGGCATTTGTAAACTGTCATGGGCTGATGGGAGTGTCTTTAGCATGCTGATGCATTATAAGTAACATATAATGAGCAGTGAGCATGACTAGAGGTCACTTTAGTAGCCATGTTGGCTTTGGTGGGTTTTTGCTGGCTTCTTTGCCCTTCCTGTTTTACCAGGAGGGTCTTTATGACCTGTATTTTGTGATACCAGTCCCGCAACCTCCTATTTCATCCTGTGACTAAGAATGCCTGACCTCTTGGGAATGTTGCCCAGCAGGTCCTAGCCCCATATTACCCAGCCCCTATTCAAGACAGAGTGGCTTTTGTTCAAACATCTGACACAAGTTAGACAAGAACTGGACATCTGCTCTCTCCAGGAACAAAAATGCCTTTTTTGGGGGTATTGGTTTCTGAGCCCCAACACAGTATTATCATAGGGATTGCAATTCTGACAACCTGTGTGAGGCTGGGCAAATTCATAACCCTTCAACGGCTCAGTTTTCTCATCTTTGAAATGGGAATGAGAGTATGAGTTGATGGAGCAATTGCAGGGATAAATAAAGTAGTGCATAGTATAAGACATTGCTACGATCGTATTCCTGACTCTTAACTTTGATTCTTGCTTATTTGACAAGTGTACTTTCATGGACAGCTCTTACGTAAACTTTTGACTGACCCACATCCATGCACTTGAGATTCTTTGGCACTTGCTTATTTGGCTCTGTAACTCAACCTTTCTACAAATAATGAATGAAAACTGACTGTATTGCAGGCATTTGTGTAAGGTATTTGGAATAAAAAAAATTCTGGTTGTTCCATGACTTTTCCTCTAATTAATTTACTCATTAAAGGATGACTCATTTTTGAAAAGTGTATTTCAGACTGTTCTGGATACAATATTCCAGACAATGAGGACAGGATATCCTTTTGCTCTTATCTCTCTGAATGGTATTCCATTCAGTGAGATGGTGGAGAGATAAATGCTATCTATGTCATTAAGTAACATTGAGGTTAAGTGATAATGAACGACCCTTTATACTCTCATGATTCAAATACATATATTATGACCATTTTAAAAAATTATACTTTAAGTTCTAGGGTACATGTGTACAACGTGCAAGTTTGTTACATAGACACATATGTGCCATGTTGGTTTGCTGCACCCATCAACTCATCATTTACATTAGGTATTTCTCCTAATGCTATCCCTCCCCCAGGCCCCCATCTGGGGACAGGCCAGGCCCTAGTGTGTGATGTTCCTTGCCCTGTGTCCATGTGTTCTCATTGTTTAACTCCCACCTATGAGTGAGAACGCGCGGTGTTTCATTTTCTGTCTTTGTGATAGTTTGCTTAGAATGATGGTTTCCAGCTTCATCCATGTCCCTGCAAGGGACATGAACTTATCCTTCTTTATGGCTGCATAGAATTCCATGGTGTATACGTGCCACATTTTCTTAATCCAGTCTATCATTGATGGACATTTGGGTTGGTTCCAAGTCTTTGCTATTGTGAATAGTGCCACAATAAACATATGTGTTCCTGTGTCTTTATAGCAGCATGATTTATAATCCTTTGAGTATATACCCAGTAATGGTGTTGCTGGGTCAAATGGTATTTCTAGTTCTAGATCTCTGATGAATTGCCACACTGTCTTCCACAATGGTTGAACTAATTTACACTCCCACCAACAGTGTAAAAGCGTTTTTATTTCTCCGCATCCTCTCCAGCATCTGTTGTTTCCTGACTTTTTAATGATTGCCAGTCTAACTGGCTTGAGATGGTATCTCATTGTGGTTTTGATTTGCATTTCTCTGATGGCCAGTGATGATGAGCTTTTTTTCATCTGTTTGTTGGCTGCATAAATGTCTTCTTTTGAGAAGTGTCTGTTTATATCCTTCACCCACTTTTTGATGGTTTTTTTTTTCTTGTAAATTTGTTTAAGTTCTTTGTAGATTCTTGATATTAGCCCTTTGTCAGATGAGTAGATTGCAAAAATTTTCTCCCATTCTGTAGGTTGCCTATTCACTCTGATGAAGTGAAAAAAGTGCAGAAGCACTTTAGTTGAATTAGATCCATTTGTCAATTTTGGCTTTTGTTGCCATTCCTTTTGTTGTTTTAGTCATGAAATCTTTGCCCATGCTTATGTCCTGAATGGTATTGCCTAGGTTTTCTTCTAGGGTTTTTATGGTGTTAGGTGTTACATTTGTCTTTAATTCATCTTGAGTTAATTTTTGTATACAGCGTAAGGAAGGGATCCAGTTTCAGCTTTCTGCATGTGGCTAGCCAGTTTTCCCAGCACCATTTATTAAATAGGGAATCCTTTCCCCATTGCTTGTTTTCATCAGGTTTGTCAAAGATCAGATGTTTGTAGATGTGTGGTGTTATTTCTGAGGCCTCTGTTCTGTTCCATTATTCTATATATCTGTTTTGGTACCAGTACCATGCTGTTTTGGTTACTGTAGCCTTATAGCATAGTTTGAAGTCAGGTAGCATGATGCCTCCAGCTTTGTTCCTTTTGCTTAGGATTGTCTTGGCAATGCGGGCTCCTTTTTGGTTCCATATGAACTTTAAAGTAATTTTTTCCAATTCTGTGAAGAAAGTCATTGGTAGCTTGATGGGCAGAGCATTGAATCTATAAATTACCTTGGGCAGTATGGCCATTTTCACAATATTGATTCTTCCTACCCATGAGCATGGAATGTTCTTCCATTTGTATGTGTACTCTTTTATTTCATTGAGCAGTGGTTTGTAGTTCTTTTTGAAGAGGTCCTTCACATCCCTTGTAAGTTGGATTCCTAGGTATTTTATTCTCTTTGTAGTAATTGTGAATGAGAGTTCACTCATGATTTGGCTCTCTGTCTATTATTGGTGTATAGGAATGCTTGTGATATTTGCACATCGATTTTGTATCCTGAGACTTTGCTGAAGTTGCTTATCAGCTTAAGGAGATTTGGGGCTGAGACGATGGGGTTTTCTAAATATACAATCATGTCATCTGCAAACAGAGACAACTTGACTTCCTCTTTTTCCCAGTTGAATACTCTTTCTTTCTTTCTCTTGCCTGATTGCCATAGCCAGAACTTCCAATACTATGTTGAATAGGAGTGGTGAGAGAGGGCATCTTTGTCTTGTGCCAGTTTTCAAAGGGAATGCTTCCAGTTTTTGCCCATTCAGTATGATATTGGCATGGGTTTGTCATAAATAGCTCTTATTATTTTGAGATATGTTCCATGAATACCTAGTTTATTGAGAGTTTCTAGCATGAAGCATTGCTGAATTTTATCAAAGGCCTTTTCTGTATCTATTGAGATAATCATGTAGTTTTTGTCATTGGTTCTGTTTATGTGATGGATCACATTTATTGATTTGTGTATGTTGAACCAGCCTTGCTTCCCAGGGATGAAGCCAACTTGATTGTGGTGGATAAGCTTTTTGATATGCTGTTGGATTTGGTTTGGCAGTATTTTATTGCGGATTTTCACATTGATGTTCATCAATGATATTGGCCTGAAATTTTATTTTTTTGTTGTGTCTCTTCCAGGTGTTGGTATCAGGATGATGCTAGTCCCATAAAATGAGTTAGAGAGGATTCTTTTTTTTTTTCTATTGATTGGAATAGTTTCAGAAGGAATGGTACCAGCCCTTCTTTGTACCTCTGGTAGAATTTAGCTGTGAATCTACTGGTTCTGGGCTTTTTTTTGTTGGTAGGCTATTAATTATTGCCTCAATTTCAGAACCTGTTTTGGTCTATTCATAGATTCAGCTTCTTCCTGGTTTAGTCTTGGGTGGGTGTACGTGTCCAGGAATTTATCCATTTCTTCTAGATTTTCTAGTTTATTTGCGTAGAGATGTTTATAGTATTCTCTGATGGTAGTTTGTATTTCTGTGGGATTGGTGGTGATATCCCTTTTATCATTTTTTATTGCATCTATTTGATTTTTCTCTCTTTTCTTCTTTATTAGTCTTGCTAGTGGTCTATCAATTTTTTTGATGTTTTCATAAAACCAGCTCCTGGATTCATTCATTTTTTGAAGGGTTTTTTTGTGTCTCTATCTCCTTCAGTTCTGCTCTGATCTTAGTTATTTCTTGCCTTCTGCTAGCTTTTGAATTTGTTTGCTCTTGCTTCTCTAGTTCTTTTAATTGTGATGTTAGGGTGTCAATTTTAGATCTTTCCTCCTTTCTCTTGTGGGCATTTAGTGCAATAAATTTCCCTCTACACACTGCTTTAAATGTGTCCCAGAGATTCTGGTATGTTGTGTCTCTGTTCTCATTGGTTTCAAAGAACATCTTTTTTTCTGCCTTCAGTTCGTTATTTACCCAGTAGTCACTCAGGAGCAGGTTGTTCAGTTTCCATGTAGTTGTGCAGTTCTGAGTGAGTTTCTTAATCCTGAGTTCTAATTTGATTGCACTGTGGTCTGAGAGACAGTTTGTTTTGATTTCTGTTGTTTTACATTTGCTGAGGAGTGTTTTACTACCAATTATGTGGTCAATTTTAGAATAAGGGTGATATGGTGGTGAGAGGAAGGTATGTTCTGTTGATTTGGGGTGGAGAGTTCTGTAGATGTGTATTAGGTCTGCCTGGTCCAGAGCTGAGTTTAAGTCTGGATATCCTTGTTAACCTTCTGTCTCTTTGTTCTAATATTGACAATGGGGTGTTAAACTCTCCCATTATTATTGTGTAGGAGTCTAAGTCTCTTTGTAGGTCTGTGAGGACTTGTTTTATGAATCTGAGTGTTCCTGTATTGGGTGCATATATATTTAAGATACTTAGCTCTTCTTGTTGAATTGATCCCTTTACCATTATGTAGTGGCCTTGTTTGTCTCTTTTGATCTTTGTTGGTTTAAAGTCTGTTTTATCAGAGACTAGGATTGCAACCCCTGCTTTTTTCTTTGCTTTGCATTTGCTTAGTAGATCTTCCTCCACCCCTTTATTTTGAGCCTATGTGCATCTTTGCACGTGAGATGGGTCTCCTAAGTACAGCACACCAATGGGTCTTGACTCCTTATCCAATTTGCTAATCTGTGTCTTTTAATTGGGGCATTTAGCCCATTTACATTTAAGGTTAATATTGTTATGTTTGAATTTGATCCTGTCATTATGATGTTAGCTGGTTATTTTACCCATTAATTGATGCAGTTTCTTCATAGCATCGATGGTCTTTACCATTTGGCATGGTTTTGCAGTGGCTGGTACCAGTTGTTCCTTTCCATGTGGAGTGCTTCCTTCAGGAACTCTTGTAAGTCAGGCCTGGTGGTGACAAAATCTCTCAGCATTTGCTTGTCTATTATTCCTTCGTTTATGAAGCTTAGTTTGGCTGGATATGAGATTCTGGGTTGAAAATTCTTTTCTTTAAGAATGTTGAATATTAGTCCCCACTCTTATCTGACTTGTAGTGTTTCTGTCAAGAGATCTGCTGTTAGTCTGATGGGCTTCCCCTTGTGGGTAACCCGACCTTTCTTTCTGGCTGCGCTTAACATTTTTTCCTTCATTTCAACCTTGTTGAATCTGGCAATTATGTGTCTTGGGGTTGCTCTTCTCAAGGAGTATCTTTCTGGTGTTCTCTGTATTTCCTGAATTTGAATATTGGTCTGCCTTTCTAGGTTATGGAAGTTCTCCTGGATAATATCCTGAAGAGTGTTTTCCAACTTGGTTCCATTCTCCCCGTCACTTTCTGGTACACCAATCAAACCTATATTTTGTCTTTTCACATAGTCCCATATTTCTTGGAGGCTTTGTTCATTTCCTTTCACTCTTTTTTCTCTAATCTTGTCTTCTCACTTTATTTCATTAATTTGATCTTCAGTCACTAATATCCTTTCTCCCACTTGATCAAATCAGCTATTGAAGCTTGTGCATGCATCACAAAGTTCTCGTGCTGTGTTTTTCAGCTACTTCAGGTAATTTAAGGTCTTCTCTATATTTTTTATTCTAGTTAGCTATTCATCTAACCTTTTTTCAAAGTTTTTAGCTTCCTTGGGATGGGTTAGAACATGCTTCTTTAGCTCAGAGAAGTTTGTTATTACTGACCTTCTATTGTCTACTTCTGTCAACTCATCAAACTCATTCTCTGTCCGGTCTTGTTCCCTTGCTGGCGAGGAGCTGCGATCCTTTGGAGAAGAGATGCTCTGTTTTTTGGCTTTTCAGCTTTTCTGCTATGGCTTCTCCCCATCTTTGTGGTTTTATCTACCTTTGGTCTTTGATGTTGGTGTTGGTGACCTACAGATGAGGTTTTGTTGTGGATATCCTTTTTGTTGATGTTGATGCTATTCCCTTTTGTTTGTTAGTTTTCCTTCTAACAGTCAGACCCTTCAGCTGCAGGTCTGTTGGAGTTTGCTGGAGGTCCTCTCCAGACCCTTTTTGCCTGGGTATCACCAGCGGCGGCTGTAGAACAGCAAAGATTGCTGCCTGATCCTTCCTCTGGAAGCTTCATCCAAGAGGGGCACCCACCTGTTTGAGGTGTCTGTCAGCCCCTACTGGGAGGTCTTTCCCAGTTGGGCTACATGGGGGTCAGGGACCTGCTTGAGGAGGCAGTCTGTCTTTTCTTGGAGCTCGAACGCCATGCTGAGAGAACCACTGCTTTCTTCAGATCTGTCAGACAGGGACATTTAAGTCTGCAGAAGCTGTCTGCTGCCTTTTGTTCTACTATGCCCTGCCCCCAGAGGTGGAATCTATAGAGGCAGTAGGCATTGGTGAGCTGTGGTGGGCTCTGCCCAGTTTGTGCTTCCCGGCCTCTTTGTTTACACTGTGAGCTACTCTAGCCTGAGCAATGGTGAACGCCTCTCCCCCTGCCAAGCTCTCGTGTCCCAGGTTGATCTCAGACTGCTGTGCTAGCAGTGAGCAAGGCTCTGTGGGTGTGGGACCCACTGAGCCAGGCATGGGAGGGTATCTCCTGGTCTGCCGGTTGCTAAGACTGTGGGAAAAGTGCAGTATTTGGTCAGGAGTGTACTGTTTCTCCAGGTACAGTCTGTCCTGGCTTCCCTTGGCTAGGAAAGGGAAATCCCCCAACCCCTTGTGCTTCCCTGGTGAGGCAATGCCCCACCCTGCTTCTGCTTGCCCTCCTTGGGCTGCACCCACTGTCCAACCAATCCCAATGACACAAACCAGGTACCTCAGTTGGAAATGCAGAAATCACTTCTGTGATCTTCTATGTTGATCTTGCTGGGAGCTGCAGACTGGAGCTGTTCCTATTGGGCCATCTTGGAAGTGACCCTCCCATGACCAATTTTAAAGTTTTATTTTTTCCATGAGATGTAACTCTGGATTCTCTGCTGTGTTTTTTCAGTTCCCTTTCATCATATTTCTCATATCTTTTATCAGTATTCTACATAATTTCAAGAAAATATGGGCACTAATTATTTGAACTCTCATGATGTATTGTTTGATGGATTGAAAAGGAGAGATAGCCAGAAAGTTTTGAATCTCAGGAATATTGGCAGCTGCATTTGGTACCAATGTGAGTATCATGAGCTTATGTGGAATTATATTTAAGATTACTATCTAGTGTACTGAAGAGCAAGCTCTCTATGTGGATAAAAGATTCTTTTGGATGAAGAAAATAGGCATTACTTAGATATCTCATTTCTGAGTAAATATTTGTCTGATTGCCTGGCATATTGTCCAACAACATGATTTGAAAGATAGATCTGAAACAAGTGTTTGAATCTTTTAATATTCCCCCATATAAACATATTCACAAGATATGTTAGAGAAACTGAGAAATAAGTGTCTGCTTTACATTATCTTGCTAATCATTCACTTTTCCATGTTACATAAGTGTATCTATTAACTGAATTAACAGGCACATGGTTAGCCTATATTCTAGTCATCACTGCATGGACTAAGATGGCTATGCAAGGTCTAGGCACCTTATCACATTTCAATATAAGAGGGCACAAGGAGGAAAGAAAAGACATACTCCTCTTTCACTCTGGAAGTCACATATGATTGTTCTGCTTGCATGCTTTGTCCAGACCTTTGTTACATGTACCCAAATACCTACAAGGAGAGTAGGAAAATGTACTTTTGTTCTGAGTGATGGAATGCTTATGTAGAAAGAGGTTTTATTTTTCTGAAGTAATATGATTTGGCTGTGTCCCCACCCAAATCTCATCTCGAATTGTAGTTCCCATAATCCCTATGTGTCATAGGAGGGACTCAGTGGGAGGTAATTGAATCCATGGGGGGCAGTTACCTCCATGCTGTTCTCATGATAGTAAGTTCTCATGAGATCTGATGCTTTTGTAAGGAGCTTATCCCCACTTTTTCTCAGCACTTCTTGCTGCCACCAGGTGAAGAAGGATGTGTGTGCTTCCCCTTCTGCCATGATTATAAGTTTCCTGAGGCCTCCCCAGCCCTACAGAACTACAAGTCAATTAAACCTCTTTCCTTTATAAATTACCCAGTTCAGGATATGTCTTTATTAGTAGTGTGGGAATGGACTAATACAGTAAATTGATACCAGGTAGTGAGGTGCTGCTAAAAAACAGCGCCTGAAAATGTAGAAGCAACTTTGGAACTAGGTAATAGGCAGAGGTTGGAACAGTTTGGAGGGCTCAGAAGATGATAGGAAAATGTGTGAAAGTTTAGAACTTCCTAGAGACTTGGAGGACTCAGAAGACATGAAGATATGGGAAAGTTTGGAACTTCCTAGAGACTTGGAAGGCTCAGAAGACAGGAAGATATGGGAAAGTTTGGAACTTCCTAGAGACTTGGCTTTGACCGAAATGCCAATAGTGAAATGCACGATAAGGTCCAGGCTGACGTGGTGGTTTCAGATGGAGATGAGCAACTTGTTGAAAATTAGAGCAAAGGTCACTCTTGCTATACAAAGAGACTGGTGGCATTTTGCCCCTGCCCTAGAGATCTGTGGAACTTTGAACTTGAAAGATGTCATTTAAAGTACCTGGCAGAATTAATTTCTAAGTGGCAAGGCATTCAAGAGGAAGCAGAACATAAAAGTTTGAAAAATTTGCGGCACGATGATGCTATAAAAAACAAAAAGACATCTTATGGGAGAAATTCAAGCCTGTTGCAGAAATTTGCATGGGTAATGTGTAGCCAAATGCTAAGCACAAAGAAATTAGGGAAAATGTCTCCAGGACATGTCAGACCTTTGCAGCAGCCCCTCCCATCACAGGCCTGGGGGCCTAGGAGTAAAAAATGGTTTTATGGGCCAGGCCAGGGCCCCCTCCTTGCTATGTGCATCCTAGAAACTTGGCTTCCTGTGTCCCAACTATTTCAGCTCCAGCTGTGGCTAAGAGGGGCCAAGATACACCTCAGGCCATTACTTCAGAGGTTGCCATCCCAAGCCTTTGGTATTGGGCCTGTGGGTGTACAGAAGTCAAGAATTGAGGTTGGGAAACCTCTGACTAGATTTCAGAGGATGTATGGAAATGCCTGGATGCTCAGGTAGAAGTGTACTACAGGGACAGAGCCCTTATGGAGAACCTCTGCTAGGGTAGTGTGGAAGGAAAATGTGGGGTTGGAGCCCCCACACAAAGTCCCCACTGGGGCATGGCCTAATGGAGCACTGGCAGTGCCCTAATGAACCCACAACTGAAAAACCCCACATCCTCCAGACCCCAGAATAGTAGACCTACTGACAGCTTGCATTGTGCACCTGGAAAAGCTGCAGGCACTCAACACCAGCCAGTGAAAGCAGTTAGGAGGGGTGCTGTACCCTGCAAAGCAACAGGGGCAGAGTTATCCAAGGCCATGGGAGCCCACCTCTTGCATCAGCATGACCTGGATGTGAGACATGGTGTCAAAGGAGATCATTTCAGACCTTTAAGATTTGACTTCTTTGCTGGATTTTGGACTTGCATGGGGCTTGTAGCCCCTTTGTTTTGGCCAATTTCTCCCATTTGTAATGGGTGTATTTACCCGATACTTGTACCCTCATTGTATCTAGGAAGTAACTAACTTGCTTTTGATTTTCCAAGCTCCTTCATGGAAGAGATTTGCCTTGTCTCAGATGAGACCTTGTGGACATTTCAGTTAAGGTTGAAATGAGTTAAGACTTTGGGGGACTGTGGGGAAGGCATGATTCGTTTTGAAATGTGAGGATATGAGTTTTGGGAGGAGCCAGGGGCAGAATGATATGGTTTGTCCCCACTCAAATCTCATCTTGAATTGTAGTTCTCTTAATCCCCATGTGTTGTAGGAGGAGCCTGGTGGGAGGTAGTTGAATCATGGGGGTGGTTACCTCCATACTGTTCTTGTGATAGTGAATGAGTTCTCACAAGATCTCATAGTTTTATAAGGGGCTTTCCCACACTTTGCTCAGCACTTCTTGCTGCCACCATGTGAAAAAGGACATGTTTGCTTTCCCTTATGCCATGATTGTAAGTTTCCTGAGGCCTTTCAAGCCCTGTGTGTCAGTCAATTAAACCTCTTTGCTTTATAAATTGCCTGGTCTCAGGTATGTCTTTATTAGCAGTGTGAGAACGGGCTAATACATAAAATGAGGAAGAGGGAGAACAGACACTTGCCGACAAATTAGGTTCTGACATATCCTCTAAAGTTTTGGGATGAATATCACTCCAGGCTTTCCCAGTGACATGTGGAACTCACAAATTATTTACTTGACAACCTATTGTAGGCAAAAGAGGACAAGAGCCAAATAGAGAGTTAATGTTTTTACAAAGCTTGGCCTTACTTACTTTTGCTAGATTTACACTTGGGTGCCTGATGAAAGGAAAAAAATCAAAAGAAATTTTCAGATTTGGGGGATGCAAGTTTCTAATAGTATTGCTGAAGCTTATATAGGTGTAGTATCAAACAAAGCCTTAATTAACCAATATGTACACACTATTAAAAAAAACTCTAGCAAGTGCTTCTATTATAAATTTGAAAACTGAATGCTCAGTTAAAATTTACTTTTGAAAAGGAAACTTGCAATCTCAACATTTTAGGAAAACAGTACTTTGTATTAAGTAATAAAAAAAGACAATTTGTGACAAATTAATATAATAATGCTCTTCACTACTGGACTTCTTTCAACATCAATTTTGCCAATTAAAAAAATCCAGATGAAGTAGAGAATAATTAATCATATACTACATTAATATGAACTAAAAGTCTATACTTACTTTCTAAAAAATTAAAGAAGTGAGGAAAATATCAACATAATATATAATATAAATGTGACTTCTTTTTAGAGGTTTAAGACATTGCAGCCTGTTACCTTAGGGAAATGGGTGATGGAATTTTAAAAGCTGGAGAATAAATTGACAGCCTTGTAATTTTCTGAGAGTACTACTCAAGTGGTAGCAATTATTTTAAAAGATTATTGTGAAATGTGTGGAACCTGGAGGGCACTTAATGATGTCTAAAAATGTACTGTTTGTAATAGGTGAGGATGTTCTTTTTGTCCAGCTTCAGCAGTCATGACACATCTGCATTACCCCATCCCTTTTGGCTGTCACAGTTCCAGAATGGCACAGGGTAAGGAGCCTTTCAGGATTAGCCCATAAGTTTTCATATACTTTGGAAGATAGAAGGAGGATTCCCCAAAACTGATCTAGGAGCATCTCATTTCTCAGGGTTGACAAGATTTTAGGTGGATTAGCAAACTATCTAATGGTTGTACAAACTTTTTATTTACTTTGTAGATATAAAAAAATGTAAATGGAGACCATAGTTATATTGATCTGAGGATACCACACATCAAGTCATCACAGTAATATATCATTTTCATATTCAAGATTGTAGTCTTTCACTTTCAATTATATTTATTATTCTCAAGAATAAATCTTATCTAATGTTTACCCTACAACTTTGACAGTGAATTATAGACCAAATAATGTTTTCTCTGTGACTTGGTAGAATGTCAGAACTGCTATTTGCCAAGCCTTCACCATATGTTGGGCATGATAAACACAAGAATATTGAAAGCTAACAACTTTTATTCTCATTTTCAGATGGAAAAAAGAGACACAGTACAGTTAGGTAACTTGTCCAAGTTGGGAAATTAGAGATTTCTATTTTGAATCTAGGTCTGTCTGACATTGCATACCCACACAGGTTTTTTTAAATGAGAGCTTTTAGGTTAGAGGACAGTTTAGAAGACTCCTTGACAATGAAAAGATTTAGCCCTAGTAATATGACTTTGGACAAAGAAGTATCTTCTGAAGAGATGAAGTTTTAGCTTCCTTATGTTTTCCCAAACTAATTTGTTTCCACTCATGATTTATCCTCAGAAGTTGGTGCAAGTTTCTTTTGCTTTATATGCTGGCTCATTATTCAACTAAGCGTGGTTTTCTCTAATCCAAATCCATGTAGTCTATTTATAATTTTTAAAAATAAGACTATCTTTACAAGCAGTTTTAGGTTCACAGCAAAATTAAGATGAAGGTATGGAGATTTCCCATATCCCTCCCAGCCACACAAATGCATTGCCTCTCCTGTTATTAACATTTCTTACGAGAGTGGTGCATTTGTAACGATTGATGAACCTGCATTGACACATCGCAATCATGCAGAGTCCACAGTATATATTTTGGGTTCACTTTTCATATTTTACATTCCATGAGTTTGGACAAATGTATAATGACATGTATTTACCATTATAATATCATAAAACATGACAGTTCACTATCCTAAAAATGCTCTGTGCTCTGCCTTTTTTTTCCCTCTCTGCTCTAACCCTTGGCAAACTTTGGCAACTTTTTACAGTTTCCATAGTTTTATCTTTTCCAGAATATCACATAGTTGAAATCATACAGTAGGTAGCATTTTCAGGTTAGCATTTTTCACTTAGTAATGTACGTTTAATTTTCCTTCATGTGTTTTCATTGCTTGATAGTTAATTTATTTAAAAAATTATTTTAGATTCAGAGGGTACACATTCAACTGTGTTACAAAGACATGTTGCATGATACTGAGGATTGGCGTATGATTGAACTCATCACACAGGTAGCGAACATATTATCCAATAGTCAGTTTTTAAACCCTTACCCTCCTCCACACTTTCCCCTCTTATATTCCATGGTGTCTTTTATTCCCATTTTTATATCCATGTGTACCCAATATTTAGCTTCCACTTATAAGTGAGAACATGTGGTATTTGGTTTTCTGTTCTTGTGTTTATTTTCTTAGGATTATGACCTCTAGCTATATCCACGTTGCTGCAAAGGACATGGTTTCATTTTTTATAGCTGTATAGCATTCCATGATGTACACACACCAAATTTTCTTTATCTAGTGCACTGTTGATGGGCACCTAGGTGGATTCCATGTCTTTGTTGTTGTGAATAATGCTGTGATAAACATATGAGTGCATGTGTCTTTTTGGTAGAATGACTTATTTTTCCTTGGGCAAATAGTAATGAGATTGCTGGGTCAAATGGTAGTCCAACTCAGTTCTCTGAGAAATCTCCAAACTGCTTCCCACAGTAGCTGAACTAATTTACATTCCCACAAACAGCATATAAGCATTCCCTTTTCTCTACGGCCTCACCAACATCTATTACTTTTTGACTTTTTAATGATAGCCATTCTGATTGGTATGAGATGGTATCTCCTTGTGGTTTTGATTTGCATTTCTCTGATGATTAATGATATGGAGCATTTTTTAATATTTTTGTTGGCCACTTGTATGTTTTCTTTTGAGAAGTGTCTTTTTATGTCTTTTGGCCATTTTTTAATGGGGTGATTTGCTTTATGCCTGTTGAATTGCTTAGGTTCCTTATATATTCTAGACATTAGTTCTTTTTCAGATGCATAGTTTGAAAATATTTTCTCCCATTATTTAAGTCTTTAATTCATCTTGTTAATGTTTGTATATGGTGAGAGGGAGGGGCCCAGTTTCATTCTTCTGAATATGGTTAAAATCCTACTGATTTTTATATATTAATTTTGTGTACTGAGACTTTGCTGCAGTTAATTATCAGGACTAGAGGTGCTTTGGCAGAATCTTTAAGAATTTCTAGGTATAGAATTACATCATTTGTGAAGAGAGATAATTTGACTTTTTCTTTTCCTGTTTGAATGCCTTTTATTTCTTCCTCTTGCCTGACTGCTCTGGCTATGTCTTTCAGTACTATGTTGACTAGGAGTGTACATCCTATTCTATAGTGAAGGTGGTCTTATTACTGTTCTTAGGGGAAATGCTTCTAGCTTTTGCCTGATGTGTATTAAGTTGGCTGTGGGTTTGTCATAGATGGCTCTTATTATTTTGAGATGGGGTTTTTCGACATTTCGTTTGTTGAGGGTTTTTCTCATGGAAGGATGTTAGATTTCATTGAATGCTTTTTCTGTTTCTATTGAGATGATCTATGATTTTTGTTTTTAATTTTATCTATGTGGTGAATCACATTTATTGATTTGTGTATGTTGAATCATCCTTGCATCCCAGGAATAAAGCCCATTTCATGGTGAATTAACTTTTTAACGTGCTGTGGCATTCTGTTTGCTCATATTTTGTTCAGGATTTTTGCATCTATGTTCATGAGGAATAATGGCCTGCAGTTTTCTTTTTTTCTTGTGTCTTTGGTAGATTTTTGGTATCAGGATGATACTGGTTTCCTAGAATGAAGAGAGAACATCTCTCTTTGTTTTTTTTAAATAGTTTCTTTAGGATTGGTACCAACTCTTTGTATGTGTGGTAGAATTTTGCTGTGATTCTATCTGGTCCAGGGCTTTTTCTGGATAGTAGGTTTTTAAAATTACTGATTCAGTTTCATTACTTGTTATTGGTATGCTCATGATTTCTGTTTCTTCCTGGTTCAATCTTAGAAGATTGTGTGTTTCCAAAATTTTATCCATTTCCTTTAGATTTTCTAGCTTGTGTGCATAGAGGTGTTCACAGTAGTGTCTGGGAAACTTTTGTATTTCTGGGGAATCAGTTTTGATGTCACTTTTGTCATTTCTGATTGTGTTTATTTGGATCTTCTCTGTTTTTTTCTTTTTTAATTTGCTGGTGGTCAATAAATCTTGTTTATTCTTTCAACAAACCAACTTTTTGTTTCATTGATCCTTTGTATGAATTTTTGGGTCTCAATTTCATTTAGTTCTGCTCCAATTTGAGTGATTTATTTTCTTCTGCTACTGTTGGGTTTAGTTTGTTTATGTTTTTCTAGCTTGCTTATGTGTAAGATTAGGTTGTTAATTTGAGATCTTTTTGTCTTCTTGATACTGGCATTTAGAGCTATAAACTTTCCTCTTAACACTGCTTTTGCCACATCCCAGAGGTTTTGCTATGTTGTGTCTCTGTTTTCATTTGTTTCAAATATTTTTTTTATTTCTGCCTTGATTTTATGTTTACATAGGAATCATTCAGGAGCAAATTGTTTAGCTTCAATGTATTTGTGTAGTTTTGAGAGTTCTTCTTGGAATTGATTTGTATTTTTATTCCACTGTTGGCTGAAAAAATACTTGGTATGATTATGGTGTTTTTGAATTTATTGAGACTTGCTTTGTGACTGAGGATGTGGCCAATCTTAGAGTATGTTTCATGTGCAGATATGAAGAATATATATTTTGTGGTTGATGGGTGTATTATTCTGTAGATTTTTACTAGGCCTAATTGGTCAAGTGTCAAATTTAAGTCCAGAGTTTGTTTGTTGGTTTTCTGCCTCAATGATCTGTCTAGTGCTATCAGTGGGGTCTTGAATCCCCTTCTATTATTGTGTGGCTGTCAAGGAGTATTTTTTAATGTCTAGAAGTAATTGTGTTATATATCTGGATCTTTCAATGTTGGGTATTTACACACTTAGGATGGTTAAGCCTTCTTGTTGAATTAAACCCTTTATAATTATGTAGTGTCCTTTTTTGTCCTTTTTCACTGTTGCTAGTTTACATCTATATTATCTGATATAAGAATAGCAACCACTGCTCTTTTCAGAGCTCAATTAAAGACCAGTCCTTGTTTTTCATTTGCATGATAGATCTTTCTCCATTCCTTTACTTTGAGCCTGTGGATGTCATTACATGTGAGATGGATCTCTTGAAGACAGCAGGAAGATGAGCCTTCTTATTTTATCCAATTTGCCACTCTATGTCTTTTCAGTGGAGTTTTTGGGCCATTTATTTTCAAGGTTGACATTGATTTGTGACATTTTATTTTGTCATAGTGCAGAGTACTGCTCAGGTACACAGCATGGGCAAGAAAGTGTGGGGAGAGTGGCTCACTTGTGTTTTAGTCTCACAGCCACCTGTTCATTTATTTTTAGCATGGAATAATATTATATTATCTGAATGTACTGAAGTTTATTAATCCATTCATCTACTGAAGGACATCTTGGCCATTTCCAAGTTATGGCAATTATGAATACACCTACCATCAACATCCATGTGCAGATTTTTGCATGGACATGTGTTTTTAACTCCTTGGGTAGATACCAAGGAGCTCAATTGATGGATCATACAGAAGACTATATTTAATTTTGTAAGAAACTGTGAAATGGTCTTGCAAAGTGCTTGTACCATTTTGTATTCCCACCAGCAGTGAATGAGTTTCTGCTGCTCCACATTCTCACCAGCATTTGGTGTTGTCAGTGTTCCAGATTGTGGTCATTCTAGTTGATGTATAGTGGTGTCTCATGGTTGTTTAAATTTGCATTTCTTGATGACGTATTATGTGAAGCATGTTTTCATATGCTTGTTTGCTAGTTATATATCTTCTTGGGTGAGGTGTATATTAAGATCTTTGACCTATTTTTAAAATTGGGTTATTTGTTTTCCCAGTGTTAAATTTTAAAATTCTTTGTATATTTTGATGTTTTTTAATCAGATGTGTGTTTTGAAATTTTTCTATCCTATTCTGTGGCCTGTATTCTCATTGTCTTGACATTGTCTTTTGCAGAGCAGATGTTTTTAATTTTAATGAAGTCCAACTTCTCAAGTATTTCTTTAGTCATCATATCTGAAGTCAAGTAGAATTTCTCCTATGTTATCTTCTAGAAGTTTTATAGTTTTGCATTTTACATTTAGGTTTATGATCCATTTTGAATTAATTTTTGTGAAGAGTGTAAGGTCTGTGGCTAGATTTATACTTTTGCATGTGAATATTCAGTTGTTTTAGCACCATTTATTGAGAAAACTATCTTTGCTCCATTGTACTGCCTTTGCTCCTTTGTCCGAGGTCAGTTGTTATTTATGTGAATCTACTTCTGGGCTGTCTATTCTGTTCCATTGATCTGTTTGTTCTTTCGCCAACACCACATGGTCTTTATTACCACGTCATTTTAAAGTGAGATCATGTCAGTCGTCTAACTTGTTCTCCTCTTTAGTATTGTGTTGATTAGTCTGGGTCTTTTCCTTCTCCACATAAACTTTAGAATCAGTTTGTCAATATCCACAAAGCATCTTGCTGTGATTTCAATTGGGATCACATTGAATCTATAAAATAGACCAAGTTGGGAAGAACTAGGATTTTGATATTGAATTTTCCTATTTATGAGTATGGAATATATCTTGATATAGTTACTTATTTGATTTCTTCATCAGAATTTTTTACTTTTCCTCATATTGATCTTGTACATATTTTGTTTGATTTATACCTAAGTATTACATTTTTGGAGGTGCTAATGGGAATGGTATTTTGTTTCTAAATCCAAATTGCAGTTTTTCCTTGCTAATATTTAGGTAAGGAATTGATTTTTTCTACATTAACCTTGTATCCAGAAACTTGTTATAATCACCTGTTCCACAAGTTATTCTGTTAATTCTTTCAGATTTTCTATAGAGATGATCATGTTATCTGTGAATAAAGACAGTTTTATTTCTTCCTTCCCAGTATGTATACCTTTTATTTTTTTCTTGTCTTATTGTATTTGCTAGTACTTCCAGTATAATATTGGAAAGGAAGGTAAGAAGACACATCCTTGCCTTGTTCTTGATCTAAGTAGGAAATCTTCAAATTTCTTACCATTAGGTGTGATGTTAGTTGTAGGTTTTTTGTAGATATTGTTTTTCAAGTAGAAAAATTTTCCTCTAGTCCTAGTTTACAGACAGTTTCTATCATGATTGGGCATTGGATTTTTTCAAATGTTTTTTCTGCATCTATTGGTATAATTATGTGATTTTTCTTTTTAACCTCTTGATATAATGGATTACATGTACAATTTTTGAATGTTGAACCAGTTTTGCTTACCTGGGATAAACCAACTCGGTTGTGGTGTATAAATATTTTTATATGTAGTTGAATTAACTTTGCTAGTAGTCTGTTGAGGATTTTTGCATCTATGTTCATGAGAAATATTGTCTTTAGTTTTCTTTTCTTCTAATGTCTTTGTCTAATTTTGATATTAGGGTAAAGCTGACATCATAGAATGAGTTAGCAAGTATTTCCTCTTCTGTCTTCTAAAGGAGATTATAGAATATTCGCATAATTTCTTTCTAAAATGTTGGATAGCATTCACTAGTGAACCTGTCTGGGACGAATGCTTTGTTTTTGTAAGGTTATTAATTATTAATTAAATTACTTTACTAGATCTAGGCCTATTCAGATTGCCCATCTCTTCTGTGAATTTTGACAAATTGTGCCTTTTAAGGAATTGATTCACTTAATCTTTGTTATCACACTTATGGGCATAGAGTTGTTCACATTATTACCTTATTACCTTTTTAATGTCCATAGGATCTGTAGTAATGTCCCCTATTCCATTTCTAATATTAGTGATTTGTGTTCTTGCTCTCTTTTTCATATTTACCTGGCTCGAATCTTGTTGATTTTATTGATCTTTTCAAAGAACCACCGTTTGGTTTCGTTGATTTTCTCTATTGATTTTGTTTGCACTTTCATTGATTTCTGCTCTAATTCTTATTTTTTTTCTTTTCTTTTGATTACTTTGGATTTAATTTGATCTTTTTCTAGTTTCTTAAACTGGAAAATTAGATTGTTGATTTTAGGTCTTTCTTCTTTTTTAATATGTGCATTCGATGACTTAAATTTCTTTGTAATTACTGCTTTTACTGCATCCCACAAATTTTGATGAGTTGTATTTTCATTTTAATTTAGTTCAAAATATGTTTACATGTCTCTTGAGATTTCTTCTTTGACTTATATGTTATTTAGAAGTGTGTTGTGTAGCTGCCACACATTTTGATATTTTCAAGTTATCTTTCTGTTACTTATTTCTGGTTAAATTCCACTGCGGTCTGAAAGCAGACATTTTATGATTTCTATTCCTATAAATTTGTTAAGGTGTGGCCCAGAATGTGGTCTATCTTAGTGAATGTTTCCTCTATTTATAATTTTAATGAAGAATGTTAACTCTATATTGTGGGGAAATTCCTGAGCCTTCAATGATGGTAAATTAAAGAACAAAAATTTATACCCACAGCTTCTCTGAAATAATCTATTCAGAATCATCAAGGACACTAGCTTCTTGTGCCTGAGTGTAATCACCAGCCCCGTCTTAATTATTATTGTTAAAAGTGATACATATTATTTTTCTGCCTTTGGTCTTTCAGACTGTTTTGAGGCATTTAATGTCACTAATGGTAATACTACTATGGCTGAAAAAAGGTAGAAGAAATCTAATTCTTATCTAAAGTCACTAGATGAAGAACTCCACTTTATAGGGGTCTATTTGTTCTACTTGGATAGATTGGTACTCTTGGTTCATGCCAGGATCATATGGGCTTCTGAGTTGTTCAAAAGCAGGTTTTGCTGCTGTAGTGGAGGAGTTTGGGTGCCAGCTGTCCTGTACTGACACTGAGACCTAGAACAAGGTAAGGTCTAAGGCTTGTGAGTAAACATACCTACAAATTTAGCATGGTCTCAAATTTTTGATAATTCTGAGCAGTCTGGTGATAAACTTAATTCTATAAGAAAAGCTATTTTGTATCTCTTAAAAATCTCTGCTTCTGCCTGCTTGCAGGAGGCAGTGTGCTGAAGTTGAGAGAATGCAGCATCTGGAATATACTAATTGGTCCTGGCTGTGACCAAGAGGTCCCATATGGTCTTAGTCTCGTCACTCAACCACACCAAGACAATTTCCTCCATCAAAAACTTATCACAATAATAATACATACATTCATAAGTTTATTGTAAAGTTCTAATAAAAAGAATCAGATAAAGCTTCTCTTTATATTGAAAGCTAGTTGCCACAGAGCCTTTTTGGAAAAGGATTAGCAATATAAATCCAATGGAAAACATATAATTCTTCCTAATTTGTTGTTATATTTTTCTATGGGTGATCCTGGCATGGTCAATGTTAACTAAGGGGAAATCTTGCAATGGTTCATCATAGTAGTATATATGGTAATGGCATTGGTTACAGATTAAAAGAAGCCTATAAGTACTAATTTTTCTTTCCTATCAATATGTTTAAAAATAATTGAAGGCTTTAGAAACCAGTTGTCCCACACACATAAATCCTACTTCTCTTAATAACTGTGACAAGAAATTCTTGCATGCTTCTTGAGACATAACCTTGTGGGTTACACGATGGGGTAGAATATAATGTGATCTCTATTGTCTATGTAATTAAAATTTATTTTCTATTTAACACTCCAGCACATAAAAATTGATGGATTTATGTTAAAAATTTGATATGTGTAATTGGGATTTTCTAACAAAATGTGGGCTGTATAACATATATATTGTTGACTTCAAAGGACTGTAGGTCAATAGAGGTATACAGGGCTGCTGGTAGGGCAAGACACACTTTGTCTTTGGCAGCTGAAACTGTAGTCCATCTATAAGGTTGTTTCTTTCTTATTGGGCAAGTCATATTCTACATATTATGGTGTCAAAGTTGATATTCTAAGAAATCTGTGTTCAAGTTCCAGAATTTGGCATTATTGTCAAGTTCTGAAAGTATCATACTTTCCTACTAGAAAGGTCAAATTGGATCTGATATCCAAATATCCCAAAAAATGAAAATGCTTATTAAAAGAGAAACATCCTGAGAACCTTGTTTTGTTTTTTTTTGTTTTTGTTTTTGTTTTTTTTGTTGTTGTTGTTGTTGTTGTTTTTTTTGAGACAGAGCTTCACTCTTGTTGCCTAGGCTGGAGTGCTGGAGTGCAGTGGCATGATCTCGGCTCACTGTAACCTTTGCCTTCCCAGTTCAAGTGACTCTCCTGCCTCAGCCTCCCCAGTAGCTGTGATTACAGGTGTGTGCCAACACGCCTGGCTAATTTTTGTATTTTGAGTAGAGATGGGGTTTCACCATGTTGGCCAGGCTTTTCTTGAACTCCTGACCTCAAGTGATCCACCTGCCTCAGCCTCCCAAAGTGCTGGGATTATAGGCCTGAACCATTGTGTTTGGCCATGTCTCAATAATCTTTAAGAAATTTCAGCAGGATACAATGTAAGGAAATGAGCATTTGCAGCAATATCCACTGATTTCTTCACACTATCCATTTGCTCTAAAATAAACACAGTTCTCAAGGTTCGCCATGAGCATTGATAAGTCACAAAGCAGATGTACTGATCTGCAGAGATCAATTTGTGAACAAGCTGCTTTGCATATAGGCAACTTCATGCAGCATGCTACAGGACAAGGGGTTGCAGCAGGGATTAATTTATCTTTGCCCTATATAGTAGAATTACAAATATTTAATTTCAAAATAAGTTTCCTTGTGAAATAGAAAATTATGTAAGACTGTGTTATTTATTAAAATGCCAAAATGATTACAGTTCTATCAGTAATACTTTTAAGGCTGCTAATGAAATTTAAAATATTTATAGATCATTACACATTATTTTCTTGAACAACACTGGCAAAAGAGTCAATTAACAGTGATTAACAGTGATGATACTAACAGCTGACACACATTAAATTTATATTATACACCAGACTCTGTCCTGAGTGCTTTATTATCTTTATCTACAATTGTTATATAAGACATGTTAAGGCTTTGAGGAAGTAGATCATCTGCTTATGATTACTATTCAATGAGTATTGTTTGGGCAGGAGCATGCTGGTCAAATTTCAAAGGCCACACTCTTTATGTCTACACTGCACTGCTTCTTTCCCATCACATGCTTTCTGCTTGGGTTTTATAAGTAAAGGGGTGTATGGAGGACTATAAGGCACTGGCGATATACTCATAAACAATGGGTGATATTTGCAAATATGGGCAGCATCATGAGGAAGATGCTATTTAAATCACGACTCAAAGCTATCATGTATCTTTTCTCCATTGATTCTCCTCAAAGCCAGTGTGGTCAGAAAAAGGTTATATTGGCAAATAGAATATATCATTTATTAAATGATACATTTATTAAATAACACAGTCTTACATAATTTTCTATTTCACAAGGAAACTTATTGTTCAGTTAGAAGCCACTTACTCAGCAAGAGTGTTAAGCATGTGCAAAGAGTTGTGACAATCCCTGGCAAGAATCTGAAGATCAAAGTGCTTAATTTCGAGTAATTTTTTCCCACAATAGCCACACCTGAAACCAAAGTTGAGGGCTGCTTTTCGCATGGGCTACTGCAGTCTGTCATGCTTGATTCCATTGAAAAGTATTTGCACATAATTTTCTCTTCATTGGGAAGTTTTATTCTCCGTAGCTTCAACTCGTCCACATCCTGAACATCGCTGAAGGTTCTAATAAAGTCCCAAGGATTCTTTACCAGATCACACTGATATTTTTCCTGTCTCACTTCTTATTACTGAAAGAATATGCTGCCATTACTCTAAGCCATCAGCTGATCATGTTCTCATATTACTTTTGCTTCTTACAAAATCCTATAAGCTCAGGGATATTGTCTTCATTTATTTATCTTGCCAATGGTTCTTGTACACTCTGTCATATCATAAGGTGAAATGGAGACTTGTCGATTTCTGTCATTTTAGAAATTGGGCTCATTTAAATGCTTATTTTAAAAATTGATTCCTATGATGATTCCTTTCCTTACTGCACGTGATTTAAGCATAAGTCCTAAGTGACTTCCCAAGATCTCATTCAACACAAAATTGCAATATCATGAAAAGCTGAGACTATTAAGAAATGTCTTTTAAATGGATTCAATTAAATTTTACATACTTTCCCATTTTCTCTTATCAGGTGAGTTGTTAGCATATATTTGTGTATTGGGATGACTCCTGTTCCTTGCGTTTTTTCCACACAAGCAATTCACAGTATTCTCTTCATAAACTGCCAGTCCCTAAAAAGAAGTACTGCATTTTAAATGAAGAGCATTTATAGGGATCATCCATGAGGATGATTATTCTCCCTTTTCAAATAGGAAATGTAAGAAATTTCATTTTATCATAATTCTCCAGCCTCCATCTACATGAAACTTTTGCAGTTGTTCTTCTTTCAATATATCTGTATGCTTGACTTTTTAAATGTGCTGAGCTGACAAGTCCTCAGCTACTCATGACTCAGTACTAGTAAAGTAGATAAACAGTACTCAGATTTATTTTGTGGCTGACAAAGGAGCTCCATTTTTCTCTCTGGGAATCCTTGTTTTTTTTAACTTTTATTTTAAGTTCAAGGGTACTTGTGTAGGTTTGTTAGATAAACTTGTTTCATGGGGTTTGTTGTACAGATTATTTCATCACCCAGGTATTAAGCCTAGTACCTATCAGTTATTTTTCCTGATCCTCTCCCTCCTCCCACCCTCCACCTCAGGTAGGCCCCAGTGTGTGTTGTTCCCCTCTATGTGTCCATGTGTTCCTATTATTTAGCTCCCACTTATAAGTGAGGACATGTGGTATTTGGTTTTCCATTCCTGTGTTAGTTTGCTAAGAATAATGACCTCCAGCTCCGGGAATCTTTTTTTAACCATCATTTATTCATTGATTGAGAGTTTCTTATGAGCTGTGAAATGTTCTAGGATATGGTGCTACAGCAATTCAAACTTCAGAAGTCCCTGCCCTCACAGAGCTTACATTTTAGTGAGGGCAAACAATGACAACAATGAAAATATAATATAGCTCTACATTCTCTTATGTGTAATTATGAAGTGGAACACTTTTGAAAACCAAGTTTTTTCCTAACTCATCTGCTCACAAAGTCTGACTTGGCTTCATGAAAGACAGCTTATACTCTTTATTCATCACATTTAATCTTCCTTTTCTTGAATTTTAGTTCATTGACTCCTTATTGCTTTCAGAGCTCTCTTCTATCTTTAAAATAAAATTGATTTTTGTTTTTCATGATGTTTTTTTTTCAGCAAGGGGAGCCTTGGCCTACCATGTCTCACTACATCTTACTTAGCAACCCACTCATACCAGCTTCTTTCAAAACACACTGAAGGTATAGAAAAGTTAAATAAACTCACATCCAACCAATTGGCCATAGTGACTGTCTGTATAGACATATATCTTAGTGTATACTTTAGAACACGACCCCCAGGAGTCTGAATTCAGAATATTGACTTCATTTTTCTCATTAGCACCTAATATCACCAAGTCACTCTAATGACAAAATAAAGGGATGGCAGAACATGTCTAACTTCTCTTTTATTTCTGTTACTACTTCTCTTAGTTCCTCAGCAGGAGTCAGAGAGCTCTTCACACATCTTCAGGGTAATATGGTTAAGTCCATATTGTTTTTCTCTCTACTTATGATTAGATAACACCATCGTACATTTTAGTACTTTACATTTATAAAATATTTTTAAAGTTTTTACTAAAAATGATTTTATTCTACAATAAAATCCTCTATTAACACTTAAGATATAGAAGGAATACTACCTCTTTTATCTTGGGCAATTTAAACTCTCTGAGGTTTTTTAAAAATTCATCATTAAAATGGGAATGATAAACTTTCCTACCAATACTACTCTATTATTAATATACCCTTATTTTCTAATGATTTATATCTCACTGTGTTGTTTTAAATATCAAATGCTTTAATGTTTATGAAAACCCTTTGCAAACACTAATGTCCTTCAATGTTATTTTTGGTTCTGTGATTAGTAGAATAAGAAGATGACTATTTGGAATATGTAGGAATGTTCCAAAACAGTTAAATTAAATGATAATGATTATATTAAAAAAAATCCATTTATCAATTCTAGAAAAAAAAGCATATAAAGGCTACAAATCTGAGAATGTATGAAGCTTAAAAGTAATAAAATGATTTGATTTTAAAAAATGAAGTGTACTAGATCAGTAATCTTAACAAAATTAGCATGACATGAAATATAAATTACCTCAACAAAATTTACAAGACATTTTGCACATATTTGTACTTCTGCTTTCATGATAAAAGAAATAAAATTGTAAGAAAAGATTAGGGTACAAAGGATTTTTAGTATTACCTAGAGCAACCAGTTTAATAACAAAGCTCTGAAATAGCATATGTAAAAGCATTTATATAAAAAATCAAAGATTGAAAAATATGTCTAAAAACTGCTAAAATTTCTTTCTAGTTGCAATATGCTTGTATTAGTCAAAATAAACTTAGCCGGATTTACTGTAGATTGGGTTTCCACTTAATTTTTAAGTATGTATTAGACAGGTTTGTGATCAAATATTTGAAGATTGATTTCACTATTGTTTTGAGGAGTATTAATAATAAAAGTTTCATTTTCTTGCCTCTAGCAAACCCTGAAGCAAAATTACTTATCATATTCATATGATATATTTTTAATATTCATTGAAAGCGAGAATAATAAACTGATAAGCTATAGCTGCACAACTGTCAACCCTACATAAGTATTTTCCCAATTCACATGGAAGTTTGAAATAATAATTTGTATCACAGAAATACTAATACAGCTTTTATAGTGACAGCGAGGCAGTCTCATCTAGCAGACAGATGCCTTAACTAGAAAAGACACTGAATCGTGGTTCTGACTCTGCCACTAATTATATGGATGAGTCTGTGCAAGTCTGTTAACCACACCCGACCTTTTCCTTTTTATTGGCAAAATGAAAAAAGTTTAGAGTAGACAACTTTTAAAATTTTCTCGTTCAAAAATGTGCATGATTATATGCCATGCACCCAGCTATGCAAAAAGTAATGATTATTATTTTTTAAGTTTTTATTTAGGGTATATATTCAGGGTGGTTATATAGGTAAATTGTGTATCACAGGAGTTTGCTGTACAGACTATTTTGTCACTCTGGTGGTAAGCATTGTACCGGATAGGTAGATTTTTCCATCTCTGTCCCTCCTCCTGCCCTCCATCCTCGAGTAGGGCCCGGTGTTTGTTGTTCCCTTCTGTTTGTCCTTGTGTACTCAATGTTTAGTTCCCATTTACAAGTGAGAACATGCAGATTCTGTTCCTGCGCTAGTTTGCTTAGGATTATGGCCTCTAGCTCCATCAGTGTTACTCAAAGGACATTATCTTGTTTCGGGGTTTGGGGCTCTGTAGTATTCCATGGTGTATAAGTACCGCATTTTCTTCATGCAGTCTACCGTTGATTGACAATTAGGTTGATTCCATGACTTTACTATTGTGAATACTGCTGCAGTGAACATACATGTGCATGTCTTTATGGTAGAACAATTAGTATTCATTTGAGAATATACCCAATAATGGTATTGCTGGGTCAAATGGTACTTCTGGTTTAGGTTATTTGAGAAATCGCCACACTGCTTTCCAGAATGACTGAGCTAATTTACATTCCCAGTAGCAGTGGATAAGTATTCTCTTTTCTCCACAACCTCACCAGCATTTGTTAGTTTTTTGACAGTTAATAATGGCTGTTCTGACTGGTGTGACATAGTAACTCATTATGGTTTTGATTTGCATTTCTCTAATGATTTGTGAGGTTGAGCATTTTTTAATATGTTTGTTGGCTGTGTCTATGTCTTCTTTTGAAAAATGTCTGTTTGTATGTTTTGCCCACTTTTTAATGGGGTTGTTTGTTTTCTACTTGTGAATTTGTTTAACTTCCTTATAGATCCTGAATATTAGACCTTTGTCAGATGTATAGATAGCAAATATTTTCTCTCATTCTATAGGTTGTCTGTTTACTTGGTTGATAGTTTCTTTTGCTGTACAGAAGCTCTTTAGTTTAATCAGATCCCATTTGTCAAGTTTTGTTTTTGTTGCAATTGCTTTTGGAGTCTTTGTCATGAAATCTTTGCTGGGGCCTGTGTCTAAAATGATATTTCCTAGGTTAACTTCTAGGGTTTGTATAGCTTTAAGTTTTACATTTAAGCCTTTAATCATTCTTGAGTTAATTTTTCTTTTTTGCATGTAAATTATTATTATATTTAAAACTTTTTTATTTCCATATGTTTTTGGGGAACAGGTAGCAGTTGGTTACATGAGTAAGTTCTTTAGTGATGATTTGTGAGATTTTGGTGCACCCATCACCCGAGCAGTATATACTGAACCCAATTTGTAGTCTTTATCTCTCACCCCCTCCCACTTTTTCCCCAAATCCCCAAAGTCCACTGTATCATTCTTATGCTTTTGCATTCTCACAGTTTAGCTCTTACTTGTAAGTGAGAACATATGATGTTTGGTTATATACATATATATATATATACACACACACACACACACATATATGTATATACATATATACACACACATATATACATATATGTGTGTGTGTGTGTGTGTAATTAAATACTACTCAGCCACAAAAAGGAATGAATTAATGGCATTCGCAGCAACCTGGATGGAAATTGAGACTATTATTCTAAGTGCAGTAACTCAGAATGGAAAACCAAACTTCTCTTCCTCTAGGTAGATACCCAGTAGTGGAATTGCTGGATCAAATGGTAATTCTGCTTTTAGTACTTTAAGGAGTCTCCACACCGTTTTACACAGTGGTTGTACTAGTTTACATTCCCACCAGCAATGTAGAAGTTTTTCTACGTGGTGTAAGAAAGGGGTCCAGCTTTAACCTTCTGCATATGACTGGCCAGTTATCCCCGCACCATTTATTGAATAGAAAGTCCTTTCCCCATTGCTTGTTTTTGTCAGCTTTGTTGAAGATCAGATGGTTGTAGGTGTGGGGCTATATTTCTGGGCTTTCTATTTATTTTCATTGGTCTATGTGTCTGTTGCTTTGTCATTTTTTCTTAGGATTGCCTTAGCTGTTTAAGATTTTTTTAAGTTTTATATGAATTTTAAAATAGTTTTTTTTAATTCTGTGAAGAAATTGGTAGCTTTATAGGAAGAGCATTGAATCTGTAAATTGCTTTGGGCACTATGGCCATTTTAACAATATTGATTCTTCCTATCCATGAACAAGAAATATTTTTTCCATTTGTCTGTGTCATCTCTAATTTCTTTCAGCAGAATTTTTAAATTCTCATTTTAGAGGTCTTTTACTTTCCTAGTTAGCTGTATTCCTAGGTATTTTATTCTTTTTATGACTATTGTGAATGGAATTGCATTTTTGATTTGGCTCTTAGATTGGATGTTATTGGTGTATACAAATGCTACTGATTTTTGTACATTGATTTTGTATCCTGAAAGTTTGCTGAAGTTGTTTTTTGGATCTAGGAGCCTTGGCTTCTAGGTATAAGCCTTGTTTCTAGGTATAAAATCATATTGTCTACAAACAGATAATTTGACTCCCTTTCTTCCAATTTGGATGCCTTTCATTTCTTTCTCTTGCCTGATTGCTCTTGCTAGGAATTCCAGTACTATGTTGAATAGGAGTGGTGAGAATGGGCATCCTTGTCTTGTTTCGGTTTTCAAGGAGAATGCTTCCAGCTTTTGCCCATTCAGTATAATGTTGGCTGTGGGTTTGTCTTAGATGGCTCTTATTATTTGGGGGTATGATCCTTCAATACCTAGTTTGCTGAAGGTTTTTAACATGAAGGAATGTTGAATTTAATTGAAAGCCTTTTTCTGCATCTGTTGAGATAATAATGTGGTTTTTGTCTTTAGTTCCATTTGTGTGATGAATCACATTTATTGATTTGCATATGTTGAACCCACCTTGCATCTCAGGTATAAAGCCTACTTGATTATAGTGGATTAGCTTTTTGATGTGCTGCTGGATTCAGTATGCTAGTGTTCTGTTGAGGGTTTTTTTTTTTTTTTCGCATGTATGTTCGTCAAGGATATTGGACTTTTTCTTTTCTTTTTCATTTTTGGTTGTGTCTCTGCCAGGTTTTAGTATCAGGATAATGCTGGCCTCATAGAATGAGTTAGGTAGGAGTCCCTCTTCCTCAATTTTTTGGAATGGTTTTAATAGGAATGGTACCAGCTTTTCTTTATACACCTGGTGGGATTCAGCTGAGAATCTGTCTGGTCCTGGACTTTTTCTGGTTGGAAGGCTTTTTACTATTGATTCAATTTGGAACTAATTATTGGTCTGTTCAGGGATTCAATTTCTTCCTGATTCAATCTTGGGAGGTTGCATGTTTCCAGGAATTTATCCATTTCTTCCAGATTTTCTAGTTTGCATGCATAGAGGTGTTCATAGTAGTCTCTGAGTGTTTATCGTATTTCTGTAAACTAACCTGAAGTCTATTAAGTGCTTTTTTTGCCTGATACCAAACAATATAATTTTGGTCTATGCTAGCTAGATGTTATCTAGTGATGTTTAAATGCAATTAGTTAATGATTGTTTCTTCTTTCTCATTTGTTGTATCTTGAGTGGCATTTAAATTACTACTTTGTCAGGTGGGGTTACCTGTTCATCTGTTTGTGTCTGCCTGTGGTGACGTCTGCTGTAGTGTACACAATTTCCTATCTTGTTCATGAGCATTGCAACCTCCCATGGTGATATTTCTCTGAGATATCTGTATTAAGTTCTATATAGTCCAGTTTACTTACCCTGTAGCTCCCCTTATTATGGCTAAAGATACTTTGAGGTGCATTGAAGTATTCTTTCTTTCTCACTCTCTTTTTTCTCTTTCTCATCTACAACTTTCTTGGTGAAATAAAAGAAAATAAGATCTCTCATGCTTTAATGGTAACATTTGTATTTTGCCTGGGCCATTCTCAGCTTACAAACACCACATTTTCAAATCTTTCACTATAGAGGCTCAGTGAAAACTCCTGAACCTGAGTTTTGGAAGCAAGGTCAAGTCTTCCACTCTCAGATCCTCAAACCTATCTAGGGTTGTATTACACCCCTTGTCCAGAGCATGGCTAGACAGGCAGGCAGCATATAGCCCTGCTCAGAGAGCTCTGTCCCAGTCTCATATTTTTGCTGTCTCTACAGCTCTCCTTTTCCCTCTCTCTCTTTGAAGGATCTTTATCTACTTTCAGAAAGGGAAGAAGGTGACAAGAACGAAGTCACATATTTAGCAACATCTATTAACAGAGTAGGACCATAGAATGAAAAAGATCTGGGCATTTGTAACTCAAAACACCCTGTGTTCTCAAATGTATTACCATGAGCATCAAAATTCTATCTTAAAACTCAATACTGAAAATTAAGTCGTGTAGTCCTTTGTGTTTTTTTGTGGTAAGGAAATTTTCCTGAGGACAGATGTGGAGGTAGAGGATTTTGCTTTTTGGAACTAAGGAGGGCTTTGTGTACATAAAATATACATGGTTTAACACACCAGTTGATACTTGAAAATATTATTTCTTTACATAATTTCCAGTATTTTATAAATTCATCTCAATTTTTATAGTAGGTTACTTTTGATGAATGATTCTTTTTATAGGGTAACATACAAAGATCATAGAAACAGAATTAGATTTTTAAATTATATCAATATTAAAAATTCTGAATTTATTTGGACATGCTCAAAAAATATTATATTTTATTTTTGTAACCTTGAACAGGAGGTGGAAACTGTGACATGTTTTCATTTTCATTAACCCTGGAAATAGACTATGGCACATTTTTATTGCAATACAAAAATAAGTAACTTGGTTCTACAATTCTACCTTTAAAAAAGTGTCAAAGTGATATCAGAAAAATGGCAAAGTAGGCAGCTCCAACCTCCTGTCCTCTCCCACCCCCGCTAGAAACATCAAAAGCAAACAGAAATTGTCAGGACCAATCTTGTCAGAACTCTGGAAAATGATAAAATTTTATAGCATACAAGCAAACGAGGAATCAAGAAGAAAGTAACTTAAACATGATAGGAATGTTTTGCAGTGTTTTTACTTTTTTACTTATTCCTGCTCCCCTCCCAGGCCAGTAGCAGTCTTGAAGTTTACAACTCATGAATCCAGTGTGAGATCTTAGCCCTGGATTCTGCAAGTAGCAGAGTACAGGCTATTTACAAATTATTGTGTATGCCTGTTTTAACCGGCCTGGACCACTTGAATTTCTGACACAAGGCACTTGTTTCTGTTATACCTGCTTGCCTAACTAGAAACTAATCTGGGCTACGAAAGCTGTAAGCATTGCTGGAAAGTATTTTTTTTTTTTCAGACAGAATCTTGCGCTGTTGCCCAGGTACTGGCTTTCAGTGACGTGATCATAGCTCACTGTAATCTCAAACTCCTTGGCTCAAGCAATAGTCCTGCCTCAGCTTCCTAAGTAGTCAGGACTACAGGCACATGCCGCCCTGCCTGGTTAACTTTTTATTTTTTGTAGAAACAGAATCTTGCTGTGTTGCTCAGGCTTTCTTGAACTCCCAGCCTCAAGTAATACTTTCACCTCAGCCTGCTGGAAAGCACTGGAAAGTGGAAGAGCAACAAATAGTTGCCTAGGGTGAAAGATTACAGTTGACACATACAAAAGATAATCCTATAGCCAGAGAAGAAAAGCCTGGGAGACAGTGTCTTAGAAAAACTATGGCATTTAAAAGCATCCATCTATACAGGGGAATTCTGCCCTATGACATGCATGCACACACTGTAGCATGCAAGCATAGGGAATAATACATGATCAGAAAACATCTGAGAAGGCCCTATTTTACCTCAGGCTGATGCCTACACAAAATGTAAGCTTAGATAAGTTTGAAAGACGGCCCTAGCACAGAGACAATCTGCAAAGATCTGGAAACATTTTTATTTTACCTTTTCTCTCTCATTCCCTTATTTTGGCTCCTGGCATTCAAGGAAATCTCTGTTAAAACACTAGCTGAGCACAAGCTGATAAACAAAGTCTTCAGTGACAACACATGGCAAAGAAAACTGTCTCTGCAAAAATAATTAAGAAAAAGTTACTAAACAAACAGTGGACAACTACAGTCTTCAACAATCAGTGAAACAGAAAACAATGGATCAGGGGGAGAATCTGATTTCCAGAGTTACCATATTATAACATTGAAATGTACAGCTTTTTTTTTTTTTTTTATTCACAAGGCATACCAAAAAACTGGAAAGTATGGCCCATTTAAGGAGCAAAATAAATTGCTAGAAGTTGTCTCTGAGGAAGCCTAGACATTGCACTTAGCAGACAAAGACTTTAAAACAATTGACTCTTTAAAAAGTATTTTTAAGTTGTTATATAATATATATAGCAGAAAATTAGCCATTTTAGCCACTTCAGTGTATAATTCAGTGGCATTAGTTATGCTTACACTGTTGTACAACCATCACCACTATCTCCAAAAATGTTTTATCACCCCAGAAACTCTGTACTCATTAAGTGATAGCTCCCTATTCCTGCCTCCCTTAGCCCATGGTAATTTATAATCTATTTTCAGTATCTATAAATTTATTTATTCTAGATACTTCCTGTAATTGGAGTAATAATATTTGCTATTTTGTATCTGGCTTATCTGACTTAGCATAGTGTTTTTAAGGCTCAACCATATTCAGAAATTCAGAACCTTTATGGCTGAATAATACTCCATTATATGTGTATATCTTATTTTGGATATCTTTTTATCTGTTGGTGGACACTTGGATCGTTCCCAACTTTTGGTTATTGTGAACAATACTGCAACAAATGTTTGCATATAGTTATTTGTTTGAGTTCTTATTTTCATTTCTTTCAGGTATATACTTAGGAGTGGAATGGCCGGGTGACATTGCAATCTTTTGTTTTGTTTTTGAGGAAGTGCCAACTTATTTTTCACAGCAGCTGTACTATTTTATATTTGTGCCAGTAATGTATGAGGATTCCAATTTCTCTACATTCTCACCAGCACTTGTTATTTCCTCTTTCACAACATCCTTTTTTTTTCTTAGTATAGCCAGTTTAGTAGCCATGAAGTGGTATACCACTGTAGTTTCAATTTGTATTTCTCTAATGACTAATGATCTTGAGGATCTTTTTATATGCTAATTGGATATTTGCATATTTTTGTATCTTCTTTAGAGAAATGTTTATTCAAGTCTGTTACCTCTTTTAATTGGATTGTTTGGTCTGTTGCTGCATTTAAAACAACTGTCTTAAACATTCACAAAAAAACTAAAGGGAATCAGGAAAATAATATATAAATGAAACAGGAATTTTAATAAAATGATTACAATTATTAAAAAGAAGCAAACAGAAATTCTGGAGCTGAGAAATACAATCTTGAAATGAAAACTTCCCTAGAGTGGCTCAAAAGATCTGAGCAAACAGAAAATAGGATCAGCAAACTTGTATATAGGAAAATGTAGATTACTTGCTCTAAGGAACAGAAATAAAGACAGAATGGAGAAAGATAACCAGAACATAACGTACCTGTGGAATGCCATCAAACAGGCTAACATATGTATTATGAGAATCTCAGATGAAGGAGATAGAGAGAAAGAAGAGGTAAGAATATTTAAAATTTCCCAAATTTGATGAAAAGGATATAAAAATCCAAGAATCTCAAGTACCTCCAAAGAGGGTAACCTCAAAGAGATCCACACCAAAACATATTATAATCAAACTGTCGAATGCTAAAGACAGAGTAAATTGTGAACATGGAAAAAGAGAAGTGGTTATCACATACAAAGGATTCTCAATAAAGATTAACAGCTATTTCTCGCCAGAAAACATAGAGACCAGAAGGCAGTGGGTTGACATATTTAAAGCTGAATGAAGAAACAAAGATCTTCAGTAAGGGTAAGCACATGGGAAATATAAAAGCGAGCATTATTTTATTTTGGTTTATAACTCCTCTTTCTATTTTCTATATAACTTAAAACACACATAAATAAAAATAGTATAAAACTATGTTATTCACCACACAGTGTGTATATACATATATATGTACATATAAATAGTTAAGATTGTAAATTTTTTATGTATATTTTAACACAACAAAAAATGCTAATGCATGCTACAAACTGGGAGAATATATTTTTAATATGTAAATCCTACCAACAATTCCTATTCAGAATCTATTTAAAAAAAACTTCTTACAACTCAATAATAAAAATTAAAACACCCTAATTTTTATCTTTAGTGATCAGAGAAATGCAAATTAAAACTATAATTAGATACCACTTAGTACCCAGTAGAGAAGCTAAAATGAAAAGTAATAAAATAACAAAATTTGGAAAGATGAAGAACAATCAAGGTATTCATTCATTGCTTTTGAAAGAAAAAAGTAAAAAAAAAAATAGCTTTGGAAAACTTGTTTGGCACTTTCTTATAATGTTAAACATATACTTACCTATGACCCAGCAACTACTTTTACATTTTTACCCAAAGAAAATAAAACATATATCACAAAATAATGTATAAAAATGTTTATTTTGGCCTTATTTATAATGGCATGAAATACAAGTAACCAAAATTTTAAACAACAGATGATTGACAAAGCAAACTGTGATACATTTATACAATAGAATACTAGTCAGCCATTATAATGAATTTACTGTATTGTGTCACATACAATAACACTGATGAATCTCAAAAATATCAAGTTGAACAGCAAAGCCACATAGCAAAAGAATTTATGGGAAGGGGCCAAGATGGCCGACTAGAAGCAGCTGTCTTTGGCGGCTCCCACCAAGAAGAACTGAAACAGTGAGTGAATACTGCACCTTCAGCTGAAGTATTCAGGTTCTCTCACTGGGGCTGACTAGGTGCTTGGTGCAACCCACAGAGAGGAAGGAAAGGAAGGGTGGAGTGACAGCAAACAAAACTCAAAGTTAGCAGAAGACAATAAATAACCAATATTAGAGCAGAACTGAAGGAGAGAGAGAGACATGAACAATCCTTCACAAAATCAACAAATCCAGATGGTGTTTTTTTTGAAAAAATTAGTAAAATAGATACAGCCCTAGCTAGACTAATAAACAAGAAAAGAGAGAAGAATCAAATAGACACAATAAAAATTGACAAAGAGAATATACCACTGTCTCCACAGACATACAAACAACTATGAGAGAATATTATAGAGACCTGTATGCAAATAAACTAGAAAATCTAGAAGAAATGGATAAATTCCTGGAAACATACACCTCCTAAGACTGAACTAGGAAGAAGTTAAATATCTGAATAGACCAATAATGAGCTCTGAAATTGAGGCAGTAATAAATAGCCTACCAATTTAAAAAAGCCTAGGATCAGGGGGATTTAGAGCTGAATTCTACCAGAGGTACAAAGAGGAGCCAGTACTATTTCTTCTGAAACTATTCCAAACAATTGAAAAGGAAGAATGGCTCCCTAACTCATTGTATGAGGCCAGCATCATCCTGATACCAAAATTAGGCAGAGATACAACAATAACAAAAAAACCTTCAGGCCAATATCCCTGAAGAACCTCGATGCAAAGATCTTCAATAAAATACCGGCAAACTGAAACCAGCAACACATCAAGAAGTTTTTCCACCATGATCAAGTTGGCTTCATTCCTGAGATGTAATGCTGGTTCAACATATGCAAATGAATAAACATAATTCATCACATAAACAGAACTACATACAAAAACCACATAATTATCTCAATAGATACAGAAAAGGCATTTGATAAAATTCAACATCCCTTCATGTTAAAAACTCTTAATAAACTAGGTATTGAAGGAACATACCTCAAAATAATAAGAGCCATTTATGACAAACCCACAGCCAATATCATACCAAATGGGAAAAAGCTGGAAGCATTCCCCTTGAAAACCACCACAAGACAAAGATGTCCTCTCTCACCACTGCTACTCAACATAGTATTGGAAGTTCTGGACAGGGCAATCAGTCAAGAGAAAGAAATAAAAAGAATCAAATAGAAAGACAGGAGTCAAATTGTCTCTGTTTGCAGATGACATTATCCTATATCTATAAAATCCCATCATCTCAGCCCAAGAGCTTCTTAAGCTGATAAGCAACTAGAGCAAAGTCTCAGGATACAAAAAATCAATGTGCAAAAGTCACAAGCATTTGTATACATCAACAAAAGACATGCAAAGAATCATATCATGAATGAATTCCCATTTTCAATTATCACAAAAAGAATAAAATACCTAGGAATACAGCTAACAAGGAAAGTGTAGGACCTCTTCAAGGAGAACTACAAACTACTGCTCAAGGAAATCAGAGAGGACACAAACAAATGGAAAAACAATACATCCTCATGGATAGGAAGAATTGATATTGTGAAAATGGTTATACTGCCCAAAGTAATTTATAGATTCAATGCTATTCCCATTAAACTACAATTGACCATCTTTACAAGATTAGAAAAACCATTTTAAAAGTCATATGGAACCAAAAAAGAACCCGTATAGCCAGGAGAATCATAAGCAAAAAGAACAAAGCTAGAGGCATCACGCTATCTGACTTCAAACTATACTACAAGGCTACAGTAACCAAAACAGCATGGTACTGATACAAAAACAAACACATAGACAAATGGAACAGAATAGAGAACTCAGAAATAAGACCGCACACCTGCAACCATCTGATATTTGACAAACCTGACAAAAGGAAGCAATGGGGGAAAGGATACCCTATTTGACAAATGATGGTGGGAGAACTGGCTAGCCATATGCAGAAAATTGAAACTGGACCTCTTCCTTACACCTTATGCAAAAATTAACTCGAGAGATTAAAGATTTAAAGGTAAAATAAAAAACTATAAAAACCCTAGAAGGAAATCTAGGCAATACTATTGGACATAGACATTGGCAAAGATTTCATGATGAAAATGTCAAAAGTAATTGCAACAAAAGCAAAAATTGACAAATGGGATCTAATTAAACTGAAGAACTTCTGTACAGCAAAAGAAATGATCATTAGAGTGAACAGACAACATACAAAATGGGAGAAATATTTTGCAATCTATCCATGTGACAAAAGTCTAATATCCAGAATCTACAAGGAACTTAAACAAATTTTCAAGAAAAAAACAACCCCATTAAAAAGTGAGCAAAGGACATGAACAGACACTTATCTAAAGAAGACATTTGTGCAGCCAACAAACATATGTAAAAAAGCCCAACATCACTCATCATTAGAGAAATGCAAATCAAAACCATAGTGGTATACCCTCTCACGCCAGTCAGAATGGCAATTATTAAAAAGTCAAGAAACAACAGATGCTGGTGAGGCTGCGGAGAAATGCTGGTGGGAATGTAAATTAGTTCGACCATTGAGAAAGACAGTGCGATGATTCTTCAGAGACCTAGTACCAGAAATACCATATGACCCAGCAATCTCATTACTGGATATATACCCAAAGGAATATAAATTATTCTATTACAAAGATACATGCATGTGTATGTTCATTGCAGCACTATTCACAATATCAAAGACTTGGAATCAACCCAAATGCCCATCAGTGATAGACTGGATAAAGAAAATGTGGTACATATACACCATGGAATACTATACAACCATAAAAGGGAACTAGGTCATGTCCTTTACAGGGATATAGATGGAAATGGAAGCCATTATCTTTAACAAACTAACACAAGAACAGAAAATCAAACACAGAATGTTCTCACTTATAAGGGGGAGCGGAACAATGTGAACACATAGACACAGGGAGGGGAACAACACACACTGGGGCCTGTTGGTGGATGGCAAGAGGAGTGATAGCATCAAGAAAAATAGCTAATACATGCTGGGCTTAATACCTAGGTGATAGGTAGATAGATGCAGTAAATCACCGTGGCACACGTTTACCTATGTAACAAACCTGCACATCCTTCACATGTACCCTGGAACTTAAAATAAAATTTAAAAAAAAGAAAAAGAGTTTATTCCTTCTGAATCAATTTATGCAAAATTTGAACACTAGCAAAACTAATCTATGATGGAGAGAGGATGCCTTGGGTTGGGGGAAGGCTGTCTGAAAAGGAATACAAAAAAACCATGATGGGAATGTTTCAGAGTTTGATTGTGGTGATGTACAAAGATTATATATACATATTATATCAGTTGCCATTTCATTACTTTATCACTTATTACATTAATATTATATGTGTATTTTAAATATATGTTTTATACATGTATATTTGTCAAAATTAAAGGAATTATACACTTGAAATTTATGCATTTGTTGTATCTAAGTCGTGTCTAAAAATTAATGGATATAGAGTCAAAAACTTATGTTTAATGTATGTATTTATTCTTATATACCCATAGAAATACAGTTAGGTAAGTATGTCTTTATATTTTATTGGAAAGAATAGACAAATGATCTAGTAGAGACAATAGGGGATTAAATATTAAATGCATCTTGGTTTGTGTCTCTGAACAAAGTACTTGACCTCTCTAAGCTCAGGCTTCACTAACACTGAAATGGGTAAAATAAAATTTCTGTCTAAAGCAATTTACAGATTCAATGCTATTTCTATTAAACCACCAATGGCAATCTTCATAGAATAAGAAAAAAAATTTTTAATTCATATGGAACCAAAAAGGAGCTCAAACATCCAAGGCAATCCTAAGCAAAAAGAACAAAACTGGAGACATCACATTACCCAACTTCAAACTATACTACAAGGCTACAGTAACCAAAACAGCATGGTACTGGTATAAAAACAGACACATAGACCAATGAAAATGAATACAGAGCCCAGAAATAAAGACCCATACCTACAACCATCTGATCCTCAACAAAGCTGACAAAAACAAGCAATGGTGAAAGGACTTTCTATTCAATAAATGATGCTGGGATAACTGACGAGCCATATGCAGAAGATTGAAACTGGATCCCTTTTTAAACCACGTAGAAAAATCAACTCAAGAATGATTAAAGGCTTAAATGTGAGAAAACTATAAAAACCCTGGAAGATAACCTAAGAAATACCATTCTGGACATAGGCCTTGTCAAAGATTCCATGGCAATGACTCTAAAAGCATTGCAACAAAAACAAAAATTGACAAATGGGATCTAATTAAACTAAAGAGCTTCTACACAGCAAAAGAAACTATCAACAGGGTAAATAGGCAACCTACAGAATGAGAGGAAGTATTTGCAAACTATACACCTGACAAAGGTCTACTATCCAGAATCTATAAGGAAGTTAAACAAATTAACAAGTAAAAAACAACCCCATTAAAATGTAGGCAAAGAACCTGAACAGACACTTCAAAAGAAGACATCCCTGCAGCCAACAAGCATATGAAAAAATGCTCAACATCACTAATCATTAGAGAAATGTAAATCAAAACCACAATGAGATATAATCTCACACCAGTCAGAAAAGCTATTATCAAAAAGTCAAAAAATAACAGATGCTGGTGAGGTTATGTAGAAAAGGGAATGCTTATACTCTGCTGGTGGGAATGTAAATTAGCTCAGCTATTGTGGAAAGCCATTTCAAGATTTCTCAAAGAACTTAAAACAGAAATACCATTTGACCCAGCAATGCCACTGTTGGGTATATTCTCAGAGACATACATATGTGTATTCATCACAGCACTATTCACAAAGCCATGGAATCAACCTAAATGCCCATCAGTGGTAGACTGGATAAAGAAAATTTGGCAGGCCGGGTGCAGTGGCTCACGCCTGTAATCCCAGCACTTTGGGAGGCTGAGGTGGGTGGGTCACGAGGTCAGGAGATCGAGACCATCCTGGCTAACACGGTGAAACCTAGTCTCTACTAAAAAACACAAAAAATTAGCCAGGGGCAGTGGTGGGCACCTATAGTCCCAGCTACTCAGGAGGCTGAGGGAGGAGAATGGTGTGAACCTGGGAGGCAGAGCTTGCAGTGAGCCAAGATCGCTCCACTGCACTCCAGCCTGGGCGACAGAGCAAGACTCCGTCTCAAAAAAAAAAAAAAATTGGCTTATACACACCATGGAATATGACACAGCCATAGGAAAAAAAAAATGAATCAATGTCCTTTGCAGCAACATGGATGCAGTTGGAGGCAATTGTTCTAAGTAAACTAATGCAGGAACAGAAGACCAAGTACCACATGTTCTCACTTAAAAGTGAGAGTTAAGCATTGAATACACACGGATGCAAAAAAGGGAACAACAGACACCGAGTTCTGCTTGAGGGTGGGAGGAGGGTGAAGATTGAAAAATTACCTATTAGTACTATGCTTATTACCTGGATGATGAAATAATGTCTGTACTAAACCCCATGATACAGTTTACCTATGTAGCACACCTGTACATGCATTCCTGAATCTAAAAGTTAAAAAAATGGGATTTTATTCATTTAGTTTTTGTGAGTTTTAAAATAACAAGAAGGCTTAAACACAGAAGGTGCTCAGCAAGTATTGATTTAACCAATGTGTGTACATATATATATATGTGTGTACAAATGCATGAATGAATGGGTGGAAAGAATAACTGTTCTCAGTTGCAACGGAGAAGAGCTGTCCCTGGCAATAGTTCCCCAACATGGTATTTTGCAACATAATTTATTAAACAATGTTCTATTTTTAGTGCTGCTTTTTTCCATCTTTGTTATTCTCACTTTACCTCCCATTGTTGCCCAGCATAGTAATGAGCATGTAGCTATGTATTTTATAAAATATACGCTTGTTGAATGACTAAATGACTATCAGCAAATTGTGATGAAATGCGTACAAAATATGCAGTAGCTGGAAATTTTAGGTTAAAGAGGTGCCAGAATATTACGGGAGTGTGTATAACATTTTTGACTGCCCAAATGATTTATTATACACAGAAGTCATTAATGAGTTGATATACAATATGAATCACCGACAAATGTGAAAAATATATGTATTAATTAGTATTTTGTAATAGCTGAAAAATCAGACTTTTAGAATCTGTCATCATTAAATGGAGACAAACCCCTAATAAATCAGAAATAATGATATACTATATTTCAGACTTTGAACTTTGAAAATCGCAGGAGAATCCACGTGGTGAACTATGACCCTGTTGTGGAAGACAGGCCATGGCAGGGGCCACAGATAGTGATTTATTAAAGCCCCTACTTTGCCTTAGAAGATGTGCCTTTTAGTAAGTGCTCATAACAGTAAGATAACTTGATTTTTCTTCACAAATTAGGAACATGGCTACTGGTGATTTCTTGTTCAAATATCTACATTAAGTAAGATAAATTCTAATTCTAAAAGTACAAAGCAAAATAAGCTAAATAAATTCAAGTAATGAAGAATGATACTTGTTTGGAAATTTAATATAAAAATATATGGAGTAAATAAAATATTTGAACACCTGTCAGGTAAGAAGGTGCAGAAAAACCAACCGAGACAAAGACACAAAGAGAAACAAGCAGAGAAAACAAGTGGAAGGGCATTTTTGCCTCTACTTCTTTTAACTTGCTATGGAGTAGAAAATACTTATAAATGAATATAACTGTAGTAACTGTGCTCTAGGCAAGTCCTTTCAGGACAAAAGCTGGGTCGCTTAATGATCTTAAAATAAAAAGAATTAGGCATTGAGTCCCTGAATAGAAATTAATATTTCAATGGAATTTCTTTACTCCATACAGCAGTATACTTTAGTGAAATGATCGAAGAGATAGACTTTGAATGCAGGTGCTATCTGTGTATCATCAGAAAATGACATATTTCTTCCTGTGCAGAGCCAGTGATGATGATTACAAGGGTACCTTAAGTAACAACAGTGAAAATGGGACTAGAGCAAGGATACCAAAATTAGTAGAAGTACAAAGACAGTAAGCAATTTGGTTTCAGAACAGTACCTTTTCACACAGTGGTATGGGAAGAGAAGGCTGTTGGAACAAGAGATTACAGGTTCAGCTTAAATATTTTAATTTACTATGTATTTTATAAAGTTACCATGAGCTTGTTTCTTCAACTGTAGAATGGTAAAGAAAACTACCTCATATGGCTATTGTGAGTATTTGACATAATACGTGTAAAATTCTGAACATGGCATCCAGTATTGTATCAGCCAGTTGTTGCTGCATAACAACTGCAAAATTCAGTGGCTACAAACAACAATCATTTATTACCATAGTTTACAAATCATAAGACAAGGGCTCAGCTGATCTTGTCTGGGATCATTCTTGCATTTGCAATCTTTGATGGGGTCAGCTGACCCAGAATAGCCCTGGCAGGAGGGAGTGGTGCCCCTTGGTTATGCTCTACTTGTGTCTCATTTTCCAGAAGATGTATTCTTATGTCAATGACAATGGCAAAGGTACAAGAGAGCAAACAGAAACACACAGACCCTCTTGAGGCCTAGGCTTGGAAATGGCACACTGCCACATTCTATTGGCAAGTTACATGGAAATCAAAATAAAAAGGTTGAGAAAACAGACACAACTTACTTACTGAGAGGAACTAAAAAGTCACGTAAAAGGATTTGAATATAGAGAGAGATAAAGAAATGGAGCGATTAATGCAATTAATCTACCATGGTTTGGGAGAAAACACTCAAGAAACAATAACTACAATTCCTGCAGAAAATAGTCAGTAAATCCTACTGTTGATGGTGATAAATTTGGCAAATTGTTTAAACTTTTTTAATATTTCTATAAAAATGTACTGTGATTGCTTTTTAGTGATGTTTTTGTTCCATAATGCATTTTTTTCCCAGAAAATATTTGTTTCTCGTGTATAAGAGAAAAAAAGTACAAACCCTGTCTTCTTCCCTTTCCCTAACCCCACCAAAGGAGGCTTCCAGTGGAAGGGAGAGACAGAATTTATGCTTTTGTTATTGCAGGGCTGGGCTCCCCAACATGGGTAATAAGCTTTTCAGGTTTGGTGGGGAGGGCTGGTGGGTTGGAGCCCTATTTGTTTAACCCTGAGTCTTTCCTAGGAAATGGTTCTAGGACTCCAAACTTTAGAACTTTTGAGCAACTGAAATAGAAAATAGTCACTTTAAGGAAGGCTATTTGGCTGGAACAGAGTGAGCAAGGGAAAAAAATGACACAACGTGAAAGTGATAAAGTCTGCAACAACCAGGTCACAAATAACGAATAAACTTAAAGGTTTCAACCCCTATATTAGAATGAGGAGCTAATAATCATGAGAATGATATAAGCAGATATAAAGTCTAAAAGATACTCTGTCTGGCTGCAGCATAGGGAATGATTTGGAGGGATAAAAAAGTAGACACAGAAAAACCTGTTTTGAGATTGTTAGAGCAGTCACATCATGAGAGAGTGGCGGCTAGAACTAGAGTCCTGCTGGTGATGTGGATAAAAATGTAAGGATTTGAGAGGTAAATAGAATGTTGACTGAGTAAGATTTGATTTGTTAGATGGGGAGAGCAAATAGAGATACATATCAAGGATAACTCCTAGATTTCTGAATATAGAGTAGTGTCATTCTGATTTGAGGGACATTTGTGGAGAACTTGTTTTGAGAAAGATTTTTATTTTGTACTTTTTAGAGATATACAATGCCCTAGGAAGATGTCATATTGCATTGCCAGATATACCCCGGGGCTCAGAAAAGAGAGGTAGTCTGGACATGTTAATCTGGAATTAAACAGGGTCATGAATGTCATCAGGGAACTTGGATCCATGAGAATGGGTACATAGTTAAAATTACCTTGGGTACAAGGTAGAGTGACAAAAAAATGATTTAGGACTGAGCCACAAGATCTCTAATATTTAAAGTTCAGGTAGCAAATAATGAGCTGAAAAAAGAAAAGCTTGATTAATTAGGAAATAGAACAGGAAGCTGTGGTATCATGAGAGCCATGCCAATGGAAGAGAAACACAGGAGAAAACTCTGCCAAATAAATGAAAAATCTTCATCTTCCTTGAAATCATAGCATTGGCAATAATAAAGGAAGCAGTAAGGCTAGATCTTTGCTAGGAAGAGTGTAGGGATTATTTATCTAGGGGATATGGGCAGTTTAAATTCTCATAGTTTTCTGTAAAGGAAGAAAGACCCCCTTGAATGGGCAAGAGTATTCTGGAACCTTGGGTTGATAAAGAAGTTTTTACACATTTGAGGGTGTATGCAGAGATAGGGAAAGGAAAAGGGCTTGAGCTATTTTTGTTTGTAATCAAGAGAGGCAAAGGGGACCTAAGGTTTCTTTCTAACTTCTCCAGCGCTACTTAGTGGAAGAAAAAACATTTTATTTTATTATTTTATTTTATTTTATTTTATTTTATTTATTTATTTATTTATTTATTTATTTATTTATTTATTTATTTATGAGACAGAGCCTAGCCTGGAGTGTAGTGGCGCTGTCTGGGCTCACTACAACCTCCAACTCCCAGGTTCAAGTGATTCTCCTACGTCAGCCTCCAGAATATCTGGGATTACAGGCACCCACTAACACACTCAGCTAATTTTTGTAATTTTAGTAGAAACAGGGTTTCATCATATTGGCCAGGGTGGTCTCAAACTCCTGACCTCAGGTGATCCTCCTGCCTCAGCCTCCCAATGTGCTGGGATTACAGGCGTGAGCCACCATGCCCAGTCAGAAAAAAGACATTTTAAATTCAGACCAGAGTTTTAGAAATACTATAGACATTTGTTTTGGTGTATCTTCTAGGCAACATTTTTAAAAGTCAATGTTTGATACAAGATTATATTCGCTGTAGGGGAAAACCCAATTAAAAGTATTTTTATCTTAACAACATTCAGTGATTCTGGCACTTGGGGAATTTTTTTTTTTTTTTGGTGGACAAGATATTTGGCTAATCACATAAAAAATTCAAAATGAGTTCAAAAGAGAATATATAAGGCACTTAATTTGCCCAGGAACTGTAGAAAACATTGTGGACAGAGGGGTGTCCTTGAATCTTTGTCTGTGTACTGATCTGTGTATGTATGTGAGGAAAATTCTGAGGCTGAAAAAAGAAAGAATGAAAGGAGTAGGCAGAACTTTCCCTGCGGAGGTAGAAATAATTTATGTTCCCACCAGCCAGATTTGAAAAATCTTAAATGTATGAGACATCTAGAAGGGCCTTCAGGGTGATATTGCCTCAGTAGTTAGCCAAATTATCCCTACACTAAAACTATTCTAGACTCATTCTAACAAGGCTTACAAACTAGTTGAGAAAGAATAATACTAGGTACAAGTAATTTGACTACACCTAGAATAAAGCCCCCATACAAATGTTTAGAGGCATGCACACACACATATATATATATATATATATACACATATATATATATACATCTATATCTATATCTATATCTATCTATCTATCTATCTATCTATCTATCTATCTATCTATATCCACTACTCAAAAATATAAAACTTACAATGTCTGGCATACCCAAGAGAATTAAAAACATATATCTATATAACAACTTGCACACAAATATTCATAGTAGCATTATGCAAAAGAACCAAAGAGTGAACACAGCCAAAATGTTCATCAATTGATGAATGGATAAACAATACCTTTAAAAAAGGCATTATCAATTAGTATGGCCTTTACATGAAAAAAAAATCACATTCAATGTTATGAAAATTATAGAATGCTTCCTGGAAGAGGTGAAATGTAAGCTGAACGTTAGAGGAATGACAAGACATGGAACAGAAATAGAATGAATGATTTTTGTCTTAAACTACATATATAATTTGATTATAAGGCATGATTATTCAAATTGCTACTTCAACAATGCTTTGACAGAGATATGGTAGTGTAGTTTATTCTTTAACATCAGTAGAAATTTGTTTTCTCCAAGACAGTGGTATATTATTTCTCATCAATCAAGAAAGATGTGTTTTCTGTGGTTGGGATATATGGGATGACAGAAGCCAGATCTAATCTGTACGTGAAACATTTTAATCCTATTTCCTGTAGGATTAAACAATTTAAAAAGCAGAATATTCATTACTAAAGAAAACATTCATACAATTTACTCTTCATTCGAAGTATACATTTCATATTGTGATTGCAGTTTGAGTGTTTGCAAAATTCTGTGGATCTCACAAATGCAGCTAAAAAGGTGTGCCTACCCTCTTTCTTGGCTCCTTCTTTATCCCTTCTCAAACAAGCCACACGTCTACTCTGTACTGATGGGGACCAAATACAGACTAATTTATCCATGGCTTCTTATATTTTGGCTATTTTGAATAGTACAGTCTCATTCAATTGTGTTTCTTCTGTAGCAATATAGAACATTTCTTAAATTTTTCATTCCTATGAGGAGAAAATTACCTGTTATTATTGTCTTTGACACAATCCTAAGAAGAGTTGTCTGTGCTTTTCTCTAAATCTTGAAACATGATGTAAGACAAAGACCTAAAACTGAATTTATATATTATATTATATAAGGAGACAATGTCTCCTTACCAACTCCTTTTTCTTTGTTGTTGTTGTTCTCTGCTTTCTTCAGTGATATTCAATTTGAATCCTTTACTATTTTGTAAAACTTCAAAAAGCATACTTCATAAAAATGGAGGTGGAGCAGCAAAATGGGACAAGTCACAGCACAGTAAAGCAAATGGTAGAGATCTGAAGTAATTCATTAGCTCGTTCTCTCTGAGGAAAGGAAACTGGCAGATTATTTAACCCTGCAGAAAATGGAGCGTGCATGTGTTCGGAATCCAAATAAGTTTTCCAAAAATTCATCACCGAGATTGGTTGAAGACAAGGAACATCAGTGTTCAGTGCCTGTGTCTTAAGATGAAAGGGGAAAAATAATTTCTTGGGTGGAGAGAAAATAGAAGGAACATTTTCTAAGAGCAAAGCTGCCATCATTTACACATACCCAACTCTTACTGACTTCAATCAACTTCAGCCTCTCAGCAGGAAGAACTTGGCTGCAGGATAGAAATTTGAACTTCACTGATAGTATTAGAAGGGGATCAAGACTTTCATAATGAGTTTAATACCTTGGATGCAGAAAGAATCATTGGACACTAGAGTCTTAAATCCTGTTGACTTTGTGAACTTGATCTTTTTCTGGAAATGGAAAGTTTTAAATTAAGTGAATTTCTTCATGTAGATGTGTAGTTCCTGGCACCCAAAAGTCAATACGAGACTACCATTATGTTACCTAAATGATTTCTGCTAACAGGCTGAAGAATTAGAGGATTTGCATCCCAAAATAAGAAATCTGAATTATAATGATTTTGGTTAGAAGAGTAGCAACATTTTTTAATAGGACTTTTTTTTCTTTTTCTCTCTCCTGTACCCCTCCCAATTTTTTAAAAAGGAGTCAATAATTTTTAAGATTTTTGAGTATTCCCTGTGTGTTAAGTAATGACCTAGTTTTACATGCACACTTATTATTTCTGTTAAAATCGTTAATTAGAAGGCCATTAGACTGAGGTGGCTCAAATACCTTGGGTTCCTACCTAAGCAAACAGAAACCCAACTCAGTGCAAAAGGTCTTAACCAATCAGAAACTGCCAATGAACCTCTAACTAGGGACTTTCTACTGGAATGATCCAAATAAAGCTACTCCTCCACTGTAACCAATCCAGTATCTTCTTTGTCTTGCTTCCCATTCATCCTATAAAAACCTTCTCCTGGTACCCTCAGTGGAGCCATGAACCATTCCAGTTTGGAGTATCCCAGTTTGTGCATCACTCTGCTCAAATAAACTCTTAGACATGGCAATGTGCCTCAGTTTTTCTTTGAACCGTTCTTACTGTAGTCACTGGATGTGAGAATCTCAATGAAACAAAGGTTAAGCAACTTTTCCAGGTCCCACACCTAGAATCAGGGGATGCAGAGAATGAAATCAATGATTATCATGCATCTGCTGATGGAGGCCGCAGAATCCCTCTGTTCCCTTCTATGTGGAGCAGTTGGACCCATGCTCACTGAATAGAGCAGCATCAGCATTACCACGCATAGTACCATTGCCAGAACCATTCAGTAAGTGATTTGAAAATACCTAGGCCTGGACCTGGCGCAGTGGTTCACGCCTATAATCCCAGCACTTTGGGAGGCTGAGGTGGGAGGATCACCTGAAGTCAAGAGTTCGAGACCAGCCTGGCCAACAGGGTGAAACCCCATCTCTACTAAAAATACAAAAATTAGCCAGAGGTGGTGGCGGGAGCCTGTAATCCCAGCTACTCGGGAGGCTGAAGCAGGAGAATCGCTTGAACCTGGGAGGTGGAGATTGCAGTGAGCCGAGATTGATTGCGCCACTGCACTCCAGCCTGGACCACAGAGAGAGACTCCGTCTCAAACGAAAAAAAAAAAAAAAGAAAGAAAAAGAAAAACAACGACAAAAAACAAACCCACCTAGGCCTAATTCCCGCAGGGAGAGCGATGAGATGCAGAGCTGCCAATTTCCCCAGGCCGTGCCAAGGCAGCAGCAGCCGGAATTCCAGGCAGCGGCAACCCCTCCTGGTGACCTGATGGTGGCGGCGGCAGCTTCCAACAGCCCAGGACCCGCTGGCTCCATCTCCCACTGGAACACTGAATACTCCCGGCTGCGGCATGGCAGGAGAGATGAATGGCGGCCTTGCAAACACCTGTGAAGGTGTGAGGGGCTGGCCACTGCTATGCTCCATCTGGACTAGATACCACTTCAAGGGACAAACACCTCTCCAGACCTGAGGGTGGATGGAGCCCTGAAGGTGGCTGGGTCAGTACCCAGTGGTTTCGTTCCACTGGACCTTGACATTGGAAGAAAGGACAAAGTACCATATACGGCCCTCAACAAGTGCCCACCAGCCTTTGGAAAGATTTTCTGACCTGTGTACATACTATGCAAAAGTAGCTCTCAGCGTCCTCCCCAGCCTCACGCCTGTAATCCCAGCACTTTGGGAGGCCGAGGCGGGCAGATCACAAGGTCAGGAAATCCATACCATCCTGGCTAACACGGTGAAACCCTGTCTCTACTAAAAATACAAAAATTAGCTGGGCTTGGTGGCAGGAGCCTGTAGTCCCAGCTACTCGGGAGGCTGAGACAGGAGAATGGCGTGAACATGGCAGGCGGAGCTTGCAGCCACTGCACTCCAGCCTGGGCGACAGAGCGAGACTCCGTCTAAACAAACAAACAAAAAAGAAAACTTATTTTTGCGACATCTACACCTTGTAGACATAAAGAAGTTGCCTACATACAGTAGATATTTTGCAAATGCCCTTTTGTAAAGAGTAAATTTAAAAATTAATTAATTAATAATGCATTGTAGGAAAGAGATGTCTTCTGGAAATGGAATTGCTAGACTTCCCCAGATGCATCACCAAGAATAACATACAGTGATTCAGTGTTTCGAGGTGATGGAGCACAAGACCCTGTGGTGGAAGGGTGTTCTATGCTAAACTAGTCATATTTAGGAGACATGTTCTTATTATTAGCATTTCCCATGTGTGCATTTTATTCCTTCCTACTATATATATATATAGTTGAACATTTTTAGTATTTTAAAAGAAATAGATAACCTTTCTGAATGTTCTGGAGTGCCTGTTGTATGTAAAAAGTAGAGATAGGAATATAATGCATTGTGTAAATACTGTTTTTGTTAAAATTCATTTAAAATATATCTTTTGGAAATGCAGTGGCTCTTTGAGCAGTACTCCTTGCATTTGTGCACTGGCTCCTGGAAGGAGGGAGAAGGACATACAAAAGGCTGTAGATGGTTAGGCAAGGTCAACCATCATTCCATATGTTCTGTGCATTTTGTTTTTACTTTGCTATGTTTATAGCATATATAGCAGACAAATGAGTCCTAATTTTACATCTTGTCTCTCTAGATGTTAAAGAAGTTGCAAGTCAACTGTAGAGTTAGTGAATTGGTACATTTTATTGTGAAATTCACAGGAAAGACTGTCTTCTGAAAACAACTTGTAGAACAGAAATTATTAAAATTACCTCTAATAAAATCAGATATTAAGACCTGTGGCTTCTATTAGTATTTCCTCTGGTATTCTTAAGCTAATTTAGGCTTTGGATTTATTAGCTTTCTTTGGTTAGAGTTCTGGTTTAGCAATTTACTTAGAGCTCTCCAAGTTTCTTACCTTCCTGGTTTAAAATGAAAACAATAATATCACCTGCTTCAGTGAGTTATTCTTATAATTAAGGTAAATAATAAACAGACTTAGAATGATGACTGGCTTTAGTAACTTCTCAGTATGTGTTATCAATCTTATTATTCCAAGCTGTACTGTTTAGCTCAAACCCTCAAGAGACAAAAATATTCTACTCATCTCTCTGTCTGTAGTCCTGCTCTTCTTCACTTCGTTCTCCACACTGCTGCCAGAATGATCTTCCTAACACCCGGCATGTGTCTGTATCCTGCTTAGTCTTTCAGTAATTCTCACTGCCTCTTGGATGAAGTCATACTCCTTGTCAGGCCTACAAGGCTGTTAGAAACCTAGAAGGTCCTAGCCTTCTTTTATAGACCTGTCTCCTGCTCCTCTCTTCCTCTCAACCTATGCTTCAGCCACCACAGTGACTTAAAAGACTTCTGATTGTCTCACGTTTCTATGTTTCCACACTTGATTTTTCTTTTCTTTGAAAGCCTTTGCATGTTTGTTTATTTTAAAACAGGTGAACTATTCTCCTTCAATAAGAGTTCTAGGAGCATAAACCTGACCCTCCTGAGAAGACTGGGCCACTTTTAATTATGCCCCTCTGTATCTGTTACAAAAGCATTACCTACATAATATGTGGGAATGGTGCATTTTTCTCTTGTAACACATTATGTTATGCTTGTTTGCGTCTCTCTCTCTCTCCTCCAACAGTCTCAAATGCTTCATCTATGCATTGTGTGATAGACATAATGATGAATAGTCACAGCTTCCAAACAGTTCACGGTTTAGGAGGTAATAGACTTACAAAGAAGAAATTAGAACCCAAGGTATTTTGATTAGTGCAATGTAAAATGTGCTCTGTGTTACCAGTGAGAGTGACAAATCACTCTACAGGGAGCCTGAGGAAGGTCATATAGAAGCCATGAAGTTTGAATTGGCCTGAAGGATGAAAGAGAGTAAATCTACAACCATCTGATCTTTGACAAACCTGACAAAAACAAGAAATGGGGAAAGGATTCCCTATTTAATCAATGGTGCTGGGAAAAATGGCTAGCCATATGTAGAAAGCTGAAACTGGATTCCTTCCTTACACCTTAGACAAAAATTAATTCAAGATGGATTAAAGACTTACATGTTAGACCTAAAACCATAAAAACCCTAGAAGAAAACCTAGGCATTACCATTCAGGACATAGGCATGGGCAAGGACTTCATGACAAAAACACCAAAAGCAATGGCAACAAAAGCCAAAATTGGCAAATAGGATCTAATTAAACTAAAGAGCTTCTGCACAGCAAAAGAAACTACCATCAGAGTGAATAGGCAACCTACAGAATGGGAGAAAATTTTTGCAATCTACTCATGTGACAAAGGGCTAATATCCAGAATCTACAAAGAACTCAAACAAATTTACAAGAAAAAAACAACCCCATCAAAAACTGGGAAAAGGATACCAACAGACACTTCTCAAAAGAAGACATTTATGAGGCCAACAGACACGTGAAAAAATGCTCATCATCACTGGCTATCAGAGAAATGCAAATCAAAACCACAATGAGATACCATCTCACACCAGTTAGAATGGTGATCATTAAAAAGTCAGGAAACAACAGGTGCTGGAGAGGATGCGGAGAAATAGGAACACTTTTGCACTGTTGGTGGGACTGTACACTAGTTCAACCATTGTGGAAGACAGTGTGGCAATTCCTCAAGGATTAGAACTAGAAATACCATTTGACCCAGCCATCCCATTACTGGGTATATACCCAAAGGATTATAAATCATGCTGCTATAAAGACACATGCACACGTATGTTTATTGCAGCACTATTCACAATAACAAAGACCTGGAACCAACCCAAATGTCCATCAATGATAGACTGGATTAAGAAAATATGGCACATATACAGCATGTAATACTATGCAGCCATAAAAAATGATGAGTTAATGTACTTTGTAGGGACATGGATGAATCTGGAAACCATCATTCTCAGCAAACTATCACAAGGACAAAAAACCAAACACCGCATGTTCTCACTCATAGGTGGGAATTGAACAATGAGAACACTTGGACACAGGAAACAGAACATCACACACTGGGGCCTGTCATGGGGTGGGGGGAGGGGGGAGGGATAGCATTAGGAGATATACCTAATGTAAATGACTAGTTAATGGGTGCAGCACACCGACATGGTGCATGTATACATATGTAACAAACCTGCACATTGTGCCTATGTACCCTAGAACTTAAAGTATAATAATTTAAAAAAAGTCAAGTAAAGGAATTTTTATCATGCTATCATATTTTATCAGAAAAACAATACCAAAAAGAAAGTTCATGTGACTCATTCTTTGTTCTCAAAAATTAGTACATAGTTGTAATATAATCTAAAAATTGTTAAATAAAATTTTTCTTTAAAAACCAAAAAAAAAAAAAGAGAGTAAATCAAGCACGAAAAGGGGTGGAAATATAAATGTAGATAAATATTTCTCAAGAAGCTTAACAAATGGGAAGAAGAGAGAGGACATTAACTAGAAGAAACCTCACAGTTGAGGGATGTGGTTTTGTTTTGTTAGTTTTTTGCCTTTAAAATGGGAAAAGCATGTTTATAGGCTAAGAGAGAAAGACTGTAGGTGGAATGAATTTATAGAAGGTGATTGTTTTATCATATCTATAATATATAAAGAACTATTTTCCTTTTCGTTGAAAGTCATTCACTTAATCCCTCATCTAAATTGTTCCCCGTCCCCTTTAACCCTACTTTCCTTATCTGTCCTTTCCTGCATTTGTGAACTTCCGCACTTACATTCTGTACCTGTTTGATGACATGTCCATTTACCTGGACCTTTCCTATTCCTTTGTCTGCTATCTTAGGGATTTTGTAAGGTTACTGTGGTTATTTAGATGAAGTTTTTCTGGTGACGTAACATTGTAAGACTGATTTGATAGTTGTGGATTCTACTGGTATCTTACTCATGTAACACTTGTGTAGTTTATTAGATATCATTGAGCTTGAACTCAAAAGCATGCCCTAAGGAGAAACCCATGTCTAAGATATGTGAAATAAGAGCAGAAATGTTTGCATAGGATTTTGATATTACTTAAATAACAGTTTTGAAGAGAGAAGACACAATGCAAACATACAATATTTTCTGCTTCTATTGCACAGGTTAGGAAAGGACTGCTTTCACTCACAAATGACCTGAAACAGAAACCTTGAGATCTGAAATTGTGTAACGACGCAACATTTACTGACTCTCCTTGCATTTCCAGGTTACCTTTTGGGGAGGAATGTGGCAATCTTCAAGTTATGGGTCACTTAAACAATCAGGAAGCAATTGGAAACACCAAGTGAAGCCCATTTCATGAGAGTCTTAGAAAGCGATCAGAAAATAATGTTTTTAATATGCTCTTGTCTCTGAGATTTCCAGCTCCTGATGTAGATTGAAATCAAATAGCTGCTTTTTGTCTCTGGGTCATTGTGCTCCACATTGTGTGTACTAAGTACCTTTTACTTATCTGCAGCAACAAAGGAATTGGAAGACATTTTCTTAGTGTCAGAACAGACAAGCTATCACCATCAGAGCCACCGGCATTATGTGAGCCTTAAGAAAGTGAAATGGTCAGATGCAATCCTATTTCAGCCACCGATGTGTCTTCTGGCAGCAGGCTCACATTAGCCTAGTAGTGGGAAATTGTGTGTTAGCTGGAGATTGATGCCGGTAACACAAGCAAATAATATTTCTGATGAAAAAAGATTCTTGAAACTTTGCCTTAAATATATTTCCCTTTAATGTTGAGGAAGACAGTACAGAGGATCTCAGTTAGATGGTCCTGGAACTCAAATGAGATAATCAAAGCTTTGCTTAGACTATAGGCTTTGGATTCATTCAGACCTAGTTTGCAATAGGGACTTTGGCTCTTACTCATTTTGTGACCCAGGGAAAGCTACCCCACCTTTCTGTGCTATAGTTTCCTTATCTACAAATGAGGCTCTAATACTTATCTTTGAGAATTATTATCTAATATGCATTAGGCTTCTGTTATTATTCCTGGCTGTTTCTTGATTTCTCCATAGTTATTCAGGGAAATAAGTGTGAGGAGAGAATAAGATGTAGTTTGGCTCAGGAGGCAGGAGGGTCAACCCAAAATAATTACTAACGAAGATGGTGTGTAAGCCACCTGCAAACCAACAAGACCTTCATTTGTTAGTTTTTGCATCTGCTCTTCCATTAGCTTAATTCTATGTAGTAATTTTCATGTGGTAATATCATTATTTTGACATTCCGACATTATAGGGCTCACTTTGCTAATTTATTTTCGGTTGGACTAAAAATAGCCTGGCCTTGATCTCTCTAGGAAGTTTTTAAATTCCCTGTACCTGGTTCCAAATAGACACACTTGTCCCAGGAGTAGGGGAATCATGTCTGTCCACCCCTAACCAAATGCTGGAACCAATCATATTAAGCCCTAATATTACCCAGTATCTCACAACAGAGATTCATTTTTTGGAGTGAAGTGGACCATCTTCCTGTCCCCTGCTTGGTCATAATGTAGGATATTGTGGTCTGAGCATTTTTCTTTCTCCAATGGATATGTCTGGTGGTTGATACAATTATAGTAATTCCTCAAGTTCAAAATATTATACAAATGAATCAAATTTGAACTGTACCAACTCTAGTCACAGCCTTTGCCCAAAGCTGAGTCTAACAGTGCCTGTTTGATATTCATTGCTTCTTTCTCTCTGTTCCTCTGGCCCATCTTCTTCTCCAAACATAAAGAAACAAAGACTAATTTTTACAAGGTTCAATTGTTTGTCTTTCTTGATAAAGTTTAATAGCACTGAAGACTAGACTAATTCTTTCTCTCTTACTGTAGTTAACAGCTTTCAACCATAATCTTCAGGTTAATTTTGCTTCTATAAAGCATTACTTAAGAGCTCAGGAGCATATTTGTCACAAATCCCTCCTTGTCTTCTTCCCAAGATGAAGACTCTCCTTTCCATATCTACTAGGTCATAGTAGTTGCTCAATAGTAGCAATTGTTGTTTTTCACAAGAGTTCAGATGAACCTCCTTGAATGTTAATTGCCTCTTACAGTAACTATTTATGGATAATAACCATGTTATCCCAACTGCCAAAAATGAATGGATTAATACAGCATAGAAGCTCAGTATGAAGTATCCTTGGTATGCTAAGGGCAACTAAGGGCCACTGGTTGGTAAGACCTGTAGCTACAATGGACATGGCTTTCCTATTACTAGATAATTTGGAGATATAATGAATTAAGATTTAGATACTAGAGAAGTGGAAGAGAAGTCAGAGAAGAGCCAGGAAGGGGAAAAAGCCCAGGGTGAGGAGTAGTTAAAATAAACTACAGAGATAGGCTATGGAAATTAGTTGTGCAATTGACTGTTAGGGTCTCTGCCTCCCAACTGAGCAAGGGGGCTTCCAACTGATTCTGCTTGAACTCAAAGGAGCCTTGTCCTAGAGGCTAAGTAAATTGCCTTGTTTATATACTAGGAAAGCAGAGCAAGCAATGCATATTAAATTAATATTCTAGTTCAACTTAGTCTTCATACAGTAGGGGAAAGGGCTTGTGTGTTCTCCTAGGTATAGAGAAAGGCAAGTACCCTATTCTCACCTTGACAAATTTATATGACTTTATTGATAGCACGGTAGTAACCCCCAAATCCTGATCTGTGCCTGACCAATACTTGAAGCCTCAAATGTAAATCGATTTGCCAGAATCTAATCCATGAAGAGACACTTCTCAAAAGAAGACATCCATGTGGTCAGCAGATGTATGAAAAAATCTTATATAACTAATCATTAAAGAAATGCAAATCAAAACCACAATGAAATACCATCTCACACCAGTCAGAATAGCTACTATTAAAAAGACAAAAGTAACAGATATCAGTGAGGTTGCAGAGAAAAGGGAACACTTATACACAGTTTGTGGGAATGTAAATTAGTTCAGCCACTGAGGAAAGCAGTTTGGAGATTTCTCAAAAGAACTTAGAACACTATTTGACCCAGCAATCCCATTATTGGGTGTACGCTCAAAGGAAAATAAGTTGTTCTACCAAAAAGACACATGCACTCACATGTTCATTGCAACACTATTTACAGTAGCAAAGACATGGAATCAACCTTGATGTCCATCAGTGGTGGACTGGATTTAAAAATGTGGTACATATACACTGTGGAATAATATGTAGCCATAAAAAGAATAAAATCATTTTCTTTGCAGCAACATGGATGCAGCTGGAGGCCATTATCCTGAGCAAATAAACACAGGAACAAGAAAGCAAATATTGCATGATCTCACTTACCAGTGGCCGCTAAACATTGAATACACGTGTACACAAAGATGGGAACAATAGACAATGGGCACTGGGGACCACTAGAGAGGGGAGGATGGAAGGGATACAGAGGTTAAAAAAAAATGCCTATTGGGTTCTATGCTTACTACCTGGGAGATGGGATCATTTGTATAACAAACTTCAGTGACATGCAATATACCCATGTAACAAATCTGCATGTCTGCCCCTTTACCTACAATAAAAGTTGAAAAAAAACCAGAATCCACCAAAATCAAGTTTATCAATTAGAGAATTTCTGAATGACTTATTAGCTAAATTTGCATGTTTCTTTAAACATTTATGAAATTTAGAGTAACTTATATTGGATTGTTTGGTTTTTAAACTTTTGAAGATCTCCCTAAGGTTTAGTTATCTGGCTCTCATTTCATCTTACTAATAACATTTTAAAGTTTGTTGCATTTGCTTCTATTATGGCCCCACAGCAAAATTTGGTGGAAGGTGGGGCAGAGAAAGGAGGTCCTTCATCTGGGGGAAAAGATCAAGAGGAGAGTTTATTTCAGAAGCTGGGTATTTGGTAAAGGAGGTATTGGATGAATTGACTTTTGGTAAATTAGCTCTTAGAAAATTGGCTTGCTTTCTGCAAGTTTGGGAACTAAATTTAAAAGATTGACTACTACTTTTTCATTGGAGAGTTCTTTTTATACAAATAAGTATCAGTTTCCTGCAAGTAGAAGAAAATCATGCTAGGGTAAGGAGCTCAAAACAGCAGGGGAACTTGTACACTGCATATGGTTATTTACAATTAGAGAAAGCTGCATTAGCATGAAAAATTATTCTCCTGTTAGAATAAAAAATACAGAACCATGTGCTTAAGGAACCACTATTGTGGAGATCTTAGTAACTTTTGCTTGAGATTAATAAAGGTTTCTACGAGAGCAACACTATAAATCCTAGCAAGGATAATTTTAGAACTCACTGAAAAGCAGGATCTTTTCCATTAAGATTCAGTTGTTTTTCTTTTGCTTGCAAAAGAAAACACTCTTGGAGAAGTAAAAGCGCTAAGTTATCCAGCAGCACCAAGGCTGTAAGAGAGCACCACTGTTGCTAGGAGCAAGAGAATGGTACAGACAAAATTGATCAGAATTTAGACTGTGATGATAGCTATGAAAGGAAGTCCTACTTCTGGAGGGGCACACTTGCTGTTATGAAGTAAGAGCATTGAAAGATGAAGGAAACATAGAACAGTTGTCTTTCTTCTTTTCCACAAGAAAATTACTAGCATACAGGTTAACTTTCGTTTGTATGCACATTTGGCTAGTTTTTCTCTTGTTATGTGTTTTAGTTCATTTTGTGTAGCTATAAAGAAATACCTGAAGTTGGGTAATTATAGAGAAAAAAGATTTGGCTCAACAATTCTGATGACTGGAAAGTTCAAGATTGGGCACCTGCAACTGATGAAAGCCTCAGGCTGCCTCCACTTTTGCCAGAAGGTGAGATGGAGCAGGGTCTGCAGAGATCACATGGTGACAGAAGAAGCAAGAGAGACAGGGGAGGTGCCAGGCTCTTTTTAACAACAAATTCTCTCGGGAACTAATAGAATGAGAACTCATTCACCTCCAAGGGAAGGCATTAATCTACTCATGAGGGATCTGTCCCCATAGTCCAAACACCTCTCACTAGGTCCTACTTCAAATATTAGGGATCAAATTTCAACATGAAATTTGGAGGGGACGAACATCCACACTGTAACCCCATGTTATATATATTTCCCCATCAATTACATGGGTGGGCATAAAATATTTCAACCCAAAAGAAATTAGTTTATAAGTATTCAATATTGCTGATATAACTGAGAGGTAAATATATTTTTAAAGTATTTTGGAATTATCTACCAATTGAAATGACTGAAGAAAAGAAAAAAACAATGAGCTTCTTTTATAGCAAACACACATTTAGCACTTTAGATTTGTCTGATGTGTCCATTCTGAAAGGGTCAAAAATAGAAACATAATTCGGAGGTTAAAACAGTATAAACTAACTTCTGCAAAGAGAAAAAGCAGTTTGATAAGGTCAAGAAATAGATTGAGCAGAGAAGTTTTAAAAATTTCAGTTAGAAATTCTTCACATTGCCTGACTTAGCATAGTCTAAATTAATGGCACAGTCTCATGTGAGCATAAGAAAATCTAGAGTGGTTATGCAAAGCATAGTTCAAAGTGAAGAGCTACAGGGAAAATTTCGGAAAGCAAGGGAACCTAGCTCGTGAAAATCTTCATGGGATCCTTAGAAATTCAGCAACCAACTCTTTCCTTCATAGTATAAAAGAATAATTTTCTTCTTTTCTTGCTTTAATTCAAGGATCAGTCAAGTCTGTGACTAAAACCAAATGATTTCTTTCCACTTGGAAAACAATACTGCCATTTTTTATTATTAGTGTGACAATAACATAGAGGTTTTCCTCAGCCTGGGAACTGGGTTATCCCTGTAGAGAGTTCTAACATTTATATTCATTGTTTTTCCATCTGATCCTGAGGTAGCTTACACTCTTAACTACACTGACTATAAATACTATCAGCTCTTTGAATATCATTCTCCATCAGTGTTGAACCTGAGGATATAAGGCGGCTGTTGCTTGTTTTATTTAATTTAAACTTGGCATCTTAAAGGAGAATCTCTTCCTAAACTTGTATATCCCTACTTTGTTATTCTCTTGCTGAATTGTCTTATTGTTAATAACAGGCTCCAAGGGCTTTCCTCATCTTTTTCATTTCTATTGCTCTTCTCCACAACTCGTATAAGCCCTTAGATGTTTTATATTCACTCAGTATCCAGCATTTGAATTTTGATGGTATATTTATTCTCTGCTTATTTCTCCTATCTCATGAAAAGCATTTCCTGAAGAGTTATGGATATGGTCATAAAATCCAATAAAGATGCATTTGTCAAACTGATTTATTTTCTAAACTCTGTCCCTGTAAAATTTATTAAAAAAAACAGATTTCCATAGATATTTGACTACTGTAGTGGAAATGATAAGAAATGTAAGAGTCATCCAGGCACAGATATTAAAAGGAGCCACATGAGAAAAGCCTCTGTCACTTACACTAAATTGTTCTTTCTCAAAGGATGAGGCAATTGCCTAAATAGAAAAATTAATCATAAAGCATGTTAAATCATCAGGCATGATAAAAGTTTGGTTTTATGATTCATGATAATTAGTTTGAAGAACTAGGAGGTATAACTAAATAGACTTGTGAGAACTCAAAGTTGGGTAAGTTCATTTTATTCTCAGATTCAGCAGTCAAGGCAGATGCCTTAACGCCCCCCCAAAAAAAGTGTTTTAGATTTATTTGGTCATTATGATAAAACCTACATGTTAAGCCATGGAGCCTCAGCACCAAATAATAATTTTTATATACCACTTGGTAAGTAAATAAATCACTCTGGGCAAAACCTCAAAATAAGAGAACAGTTTGTCCTTAATGCCTTTCTTTCTTGTTCTCTGGCTATTCCATATAATAGGGTCATAATAATAATGGTAGAATTTCATCTCTGTGATTTAGCTGCCATAAGAAAAATAGCTGAAAATATCAGACTTCAGTTTTTCCTTACTAGTTCAAGGGAGTAACTCAAATGTTAAAGTGTACTTGCAAGCAAGTGTGACTATCAATTTTTCCACCTTATATTTTTATCTTTTCCTCTGCCACTCAAAACCTAATCTTCTCATTCTCTGGTCACTATGCTCACTTCAGAATTTGTTCTTCATGTGTCTCTTTCATCGTCATGTTGGTTTCCAGATTAGGACAGATGTAAGGATTTGTTGCTTATGAAATTGGCTTAATTATTCTTTTGCTCCACCTCAGCAAACATCATGCTTCATTTCTTTTCTTAACCTGTATTTCATTTCCATGCGTTTTTTTCTTCTCTCTCATTTTGGAGAAACTTTGAAGACACAGATCTTTGACATATTTCTTCCTCCCCTTCTCCCCAGAAGTCTCTTACAATTACTCTGGGCTGGGCCAGAAGATAATCTGAGCAACACAGTGGAATATAAATATAAATATAATTGATACTTTACGTTGTCTCTGAACCAAGCCTTCTGCATCTCTTCTCCCTTTACCTCATACAGGCTCCTTATTGTTTTATGGATTAGAAGTATACGTCATGGGAACTAGCCATTAAATCTAATGTATACAGTTGTTAATAAGAAAATTGAGGTTAATTTCCTTTCTTATCTTCAGTCACATAGTAAAGCAAGTCTGTGATCAAGGATCAGGGCTAGGAACCCCTGATTTTGCCATGGACACAAAGCTTAATTCTGTGGTAACTTCATTCTGTAGGCATTGTTAAGTTGCGAAACAGAAGTCTTTGCTTATTACTAAAATATTTCCAGGAGTTTTATACACATATAGTTGGTGTCCCTGTCATATTCTATCTTCATGTGAAAAACAGAGATGCTTTTCACAAATGTTCATGTTTTCCCACAACACAATCATTAAAAGTCTTTTGAAATTCATGCCCATCTTTGCATATGACAAACTAGACCTAATTTAAATTAAGGTGAAATTGGGAATTAAAAAACTACAGCATTACCTTCTGCCTTCATCTTGAAAAAGTATTTGGTCATCATCCGTATCAAAATAACCTCAAATTAGGAAAGCCTAATTAATCTTCACTTTGCTAATCAGCAAATGAGGAACAGAGATAGGTTAAGTAAGTCACCTGGGATTACACAGAAAGCCAACGATAGAACTCCTCAGACACCTTATTTGGCTTGTTTATGTAGCATCTACTGAGCAGCAATATCTCCTTGTATAAAGAACAATGATTGTTCAAGATTTTTAGGTTTCTGTAATTAGGTTATAGTCTACAAACTACAGAGTAAAATAAATAAGCTTTGTATCAATACCATAACACTGTGGTGATTTAGACATACTTTAAATAATTTATCAAACACATTATGAAGTGGTGCTTCTTCTAGATCTACACACCAACCCTTTTTGGAGCTGATACATATGCGAAGAGCATAATTATTCAGATTGTGGCAGCATGAGTAGAATGATGTTAGAAAAATAGGCAGCTGTTGCTTGAGTGAATGTAAGTGTAAAATATAATGATCATCTAAATTCATACTTTAATCAAATATTTATTGGGTACCCACTGGGTGCAGCTATTATTCCAGGTGTTTTGTAGTGGGAAAATATGTACTTAAAAATGCAGTATTGGAAGAAATATGTACTTTAAAAATCCTTTCAGAATTGAAATAAGTAGTTTTAAGTGCATATTGAAAGCCAGTTTTGCATAAATTTTGTTAGTACCTTTATGGGTTTCTTTTGATCTTGCTTTTCTTATTTATAAGCTCATCTTCAAATGATTGATTAAAATACTGCCTGCTTCTGTTCTGAATGTTGCCCTTTGTGCCACGTCAGAAAATATGTTAACTTACCTTCCTTTTCCAGTGTTTCATATCTCAATTGTCAATTTCCAATTATTTGATTCTTCTTGCTCTGACTTACAATTTCAATTTTCCTTCTTATATTAGCTTTGTTTCAGATTATCTATTCTATTTCATCTCTGCTTTTGTTTTTTTTTTTTTTTTTGATGAATATTTCTTTGAAACATCCCTGAGATCAAGGAAATAACACTTAACTTGATAGCACAAAGATTGGTTAGAAGTCTATTTCTTTTTTGAAAAATAGCCATTTCTGGAAAGTGTTGTTCATAAAACCAACTTTTGTTCTTTAGAGTTTTTTCAACTTTTGTATTAAGTATATTTTAGGACTTCATGGTACTCCATAATAAATTATAAGCACCCATTTATTTTCTTTCACTGGGGGAAAATACCTGATAAATAATTTCTAGAACCCAAATTAATTATCTTATCATGGTCAGGTGGAAAAATATCTGATTGATTTTCCTTTAAACTTCTTGAAAAAATTTGTTAAGATTTCTCAAAGATTAATCAGAGTATATTGACATATGACTTCAGCAAATTGAGTATCTCTTGTCAGTGTTGTCAGTTACAAAATAATAGGTCTATACCTCTTGTATAGTGGTGAAGTCTAGGCTTTTAGTATTATCATTACCCAAATAATGTGCATTGTACCCATTAAGTAATTTCCCGTTCCTCGCCCCCACCACCCCACTCTCCCACCCCTGTGAGTCTCCAATGTCTGCTGTATGTGGGGTACATGAAGGCTGGAAATCACATCATTCTTTTTCTTAAATTCCTCCTTTCCATAGATTTGATTGTGAGATAATGCTTTCCTTTGGGTAAAGCCACTTCCTTCAAACATCTTTCTTTTGAATTCCTGGTGCCTTCTGACTGATCCCTACAACCCTTGGGTTACTTTGCATGACAATGACAAAGGTTCATCTCTTGTCAATCTAACTATTTTCACTCAGTAGGAGGGCTTCATAAAAATTGTTCTGCTTTGAAGATGGCTCTCTCCTTTCAACACTAGTCGCAAAATCTGGGTAGTTGCCATGGGAAAGGATATCATTCTTTTCCTTAAATTCCTCCTTTCCACAGACCCCATTCATAATAAATTATAAGCCGTCATTTATTTATTTTCTTTCATGGGGGGAAAATACCTGATAAATAATTTCTAGAACCCAGATTAATTTCTTGTTTCTCCCCATAGTTCTTCTTGCTTTAACTGGGAGATCATGTCTGGTTTGTAATCTGAGGCCTGGCTTATTGAAAAATACTGAAGACTTTGGGAATTTGTTCCAGAGAGATCTGGTCCCTGGGTTTCTCCAGCTTCATATGTCTGTCCTGGGTTGTCTAATTCTTCTGAGTGAGGTTCACAGTCACATCTTCGATGTGTTTTGGTAAACAGGAAATTGGTGGCCTACAGGCTCATAATCTTAGTCCTCCGTGACTCCCTTAGACATCAGTGGGTCCTAAGGACTCAAGGTTAGCTGCTTTGGGACCTGCTTTGGTGAGTGTTTTCATGCTGACCTTGCCCGTGCCTGGCAATTCCAGCCAATACCTGTGCATCTCCCAATCTCTATTAAAATATGACTGCACACATATGTCTTCCGAAGGTTACCTCTAATTTTAACCTTATTCATCATTAGGTATTCTTTATTTTAAACGTTTGACATTTATGACTGGAATAATACATAGTAGTTTTACTTGGGACCAATTTCATGCAGAATCTTTAATTCCAATTGAACTACATTGGAATTACATGAAACAAGAAGGAATACAGTCACTATATCTAATTTGAAGTTAATTGTATTCTTGCAGTGAACAGGTAGCTTTTTATCAATGATCTTTGTGTGGCTAGGAAATTCCTTGGGTATTACTTGGAGTAAAGAATAATAAATAACAAATAAGGCAGAAAAGTGTAAAACAACACTGAGAAAGACAGAGATAAACATGATGATACAAGTACAAGGCCCAATATCAATATTTATTAGAACATGTGCCATTACTTTTATATGTCATAACTCTGGCTTCTTTATGGGTTTTTGTTACTTAAAATTATTAGGTGACATTTAAAATGATAGACTTGTCACCCCTAGGACTGTGAACACAATTTTCCGCTTAAGTGGAAACTTTGGTAATTTAAAAATTAATATTCATCATATCAGATTAAAGGATTTTAAGGTAGTAAAATGCAGTAAATGTTTCCACCTGGATTTTTTTGTTGTTAGTTTGCAGATTTTTTTTATTATACTTTAAGTTCTGGGATACATGTGCAGAATGTGCAGCTTTATTGCATAGTATACATGTGTCATGGTGGTTTGCTGCATCCATCAAACTGTCATCTACATTAAGTATTTCTCCTAATGCTATCCCTCCCTTAGTCCCCCATGCCCCAACAGGCCTCGATGTGTGATGTTCCCCTCCCTGGGTCCATATGTTCTCATTGTTCAGTGACCACTTATGAGTGAGAACATGCGGTGTTTGGTTTTCTGCTCCTGTGTTAGTTTGCCGAGAATAATTCCCAGCTTCATCCATGTCCCTGCAAAGGACATGAACTCATTCTTTTATGACTGCATAGTATTCCATGGCGTATATGTGCCACATTTTCTTAATCCAGTCTATCATTGCTGGGCATTTGGGTTGGTTCCAAGTCTTTGCTATTGTGAATAGTGCTGCAGTAAACATACATGTGCATGTGTCTTTATAGTAGAACGATTTATAATCTTTTGGGTATCTACCCAGTAATGGGATTGCTGGGTCAAATGGTATTTCTGGTTCTAGATCCTTGAGGAATTGCCACACTGTCTTCCACAATGGTTGAACTAATTTAAATTCATACCAACAGCGTAAAAGCATTCCTATTTCTCCATATCCTCTCCAGCATCTGTTGTTTCCTGACTTTTTAATGATCGCCATTCTAACTAATGTGAGAAGCTAACTCATTGTGATTTTGATTTGCATTTCTCTAACAACCAGTGATGATGATATTTTTTTCATATGTTTGTTGGCCACATAAATGTCTTCTTTTGAGAAGTGTCTGTTCATATCCTTCATCCACTTTTTGATGGGGTTGTTTGTTTTTTCTTGTAAATTTGTTTAAGTTCCTTGTAGATTCTGGATATTAGCCCTTTGTCAGATGGATAGATTGCAAAAATTTTCTTTCATTCTGTAGGTTGCTTGTTCACTCTGATGATAGTTGCTTTTGGCTTTTGTTGCCATTCCTTTTGGTGTTTTAGTCATGAAGTCTTTGCCCATGCCTATGTCCTGAATGGTACTTCCTAGGGTTTCTTCTATGGTTTTTATGGTTTTAAGTTTTATGTTTAAGTCTTTAATCCACCTTGAGTTAATTTTTGTATAAGGTGTAAGGAAGGGGTCCAGTTTCAGTTTTCTGCATATGGCTAGCTAGTTTTCCCAACACCATCTTCTGAATAGGAGATCCTTTCCCTATTGCTTGTTTTTGTCAGGTTTGTCAAAGATCAAAAGGTTGTATATGTGTGGCATTATTTCTGAGGCCTCTGTATTGTTCCATTGGTCTATATATCTGTTTTGGTACTAGTACCATGCTGTTTGAGTTACTGTAGCCTTGTAGTATAGTTTGAAGTAAGGTAGTGTGATGCCTCCAGCTTCGTTCTTTTTGTTTAGGATTGTCTTGGCAATGCAGGCTTTTTTTGGTTTCATATAAAATTTAGAGTAGTTCTTTCTAATTCTGTGAAGAAAGTCAATGGTAGCTTGATGGGAATAGGATTGAATTTATAAATTACTTTGGGCAGTATGGCCATTTTCATGATATTGATTCTTCCTATCCATGAGCATGGAATGTCTTTCTGTTTGTTTGTATCCTCTCTTATTTCCTTGAGCAGTGGTTTGTAGTTCTCTTTGAAGAGGTCCTTCACATCCCTTATAAGTTGTGTTTCTAGGTATTTTATTCTTTTTGTAGCAATTGTGAATGAGAGTTCAATCATAATTTGGCTCTGTGTTTATCTATTATTGGTGTATAGGAATGCTTGTGGTTTTTGCACATTGATTTTGTATCCTGAGATTTTGCTGAAGTTGCTTATCAGCTTAAGAAGATTTTGGGCTGAGATGATGGGGTTATCTAAATATACAATCATGTCATCTGCAAACAGAGACAAGTTGATTTTCTCTCTTCCTATCTGAATACCCTTTATTTCTTTCTCTTGCCTGACTGCCCTGGCCAGAACTTCCAATACTATGTTGAATAGGAATGGTGAGAGAGGGCAGCCTTGTCTTGTGCCAGCTTTTGCCCATTCAGTGTGATATGGGCTGTGGGTTTGTCATAAATAGCTCTTATTATTTTGAGATACATTCCATCAATACCTAGTTTATTGAGTGTTTTTAGCATGAAGGGGTGTTGAATTTTATCAAATGCCTTTTCTGCAATTATTGAGATAATCACGTGGTTTTTGCCATTGGTTTTGTTTATGTGATGGATTACATTTATTGATTTCTATATGCTGAACCAATCTTGCATCCCAGGGATGAAGCCAACTTGATCATGGTGGATAAGCTTTTGGATGTGCTGCTAGATTCCGTTTGCCAGTATTTTATTGAGGATTTTTGCATTGCTGTTCATCAGGGATATTGGTCTGAAATTTTCTTTTTTTGTTGTTGTTTTGTCTCTGCCAGGTTTTGGTATCAGGATGATGCTGGCCTCATAAAATGAGGTAGGGAGGAGTCTCTCTTTTTCAATGATTTGGAATAGTTTCAGAAAGAATGATACCAGTTCCTCTTTGTACCTCCGGTAGAATTTGGTTGTGAATCTGTCTGGTTCTGGGCTTATTTTTGTTGGTAGGCTATTAATTACTGCCTCAATTTCAGAACTTGTTATTGGTCAATTCAGGGATTAGACTTCTTCCTGGTTTATTTAGCCTTGGGAGGGAGTATGTGTCCAGGAATATAGCCATTTCTTCTAGATTTTCTAGTTTATTTGCGTAGAGGTGTTTATAGCATTCTCTGATGGTAGTTTGTATTTCTGTGGGATCAGTGGTGCTTTCCCCTTTACCATATTTTGTATTGTGTCTATTTGATTGTTCTCTCTTTTCTTCTTTATTAGTCTGCCTAGTGATCTATTTATTTTGTTAATCTTTTCAAAAAACCAGCTCCTGGATTCATTGATTATTTTGAAGGGTTTTTCATGTCCCTATCTCCTTTGGTTCTGCTCTGATCTTAGTTATTTCTTGTCTTCTGCTAGCTTTTGAATTTATTTGCTCTTGCTTCTCTAGTTCTTTTAATTGTGATGTTAGGGTATCAATTTTACATCTTTCCCACTTTCTCATTTGGGCATTCAGTGCTATAAACTTCCCTCTAAGCACTGCTTTAGCTGTGTCCCAGAGATTCTGGTATGTTGTCTCTTTGTTCTCATTAGTCTCAAAGAACTTATTTATTTCTGCCTTAATTTTGTTATTTACCCAGTAGTCATTCAAGAGCAGGTTGTTCCGTTTCCATGTAGTTGTGTGGTTTTGAGTGAATTTCTTAATCCTGAGTTCTAATTGAATTCCACTGTGGTCTGAGAGACTGATTGTTATGATTTCCA